>NW_017363816.1:0-140877 GCF_000001405.40 Homo sapiens | reverse complement strand
CACCATTCAGTGCTCTTTTGTTGTTCTGTTTCTCCTCAAACTTTGTTACTCTCACAAAGTGATAAAAACTTGCATTTCTTTTCTTTCCTTTTTAGAGACAGGGTCTTGCTCTGTCACTCGGGCTGCAGTGCAGTGGTGTGATCATGGCTTGCTGTAGCTTCAAACTCCTGGGCTCAAGCAATACTCCCACCTCAGCCTCCCAAGGAGCTGGGACTACAGATGTACAAGAGCATGAAAAGCTAATTTTATTTTATTTTATTTTATTTTTTTATTATTTATTTTTGAGATGGAGCTTTTTTGTTTGTTTGTTTTAGAGATGGCCTCACTGTGCTTCCCAGGCTGCTCTCAAACTCCTGGCGTCAAGAAATCCTCATGCCTTGGCTTTCCAAATTGCTGGAATTATAAGTAGGAGCTACCATGCCTGGCATCTGCTAGTCCTGTGTTCTCTAGTGTTCTCTTTACTTTTTGGTAGCCCATCTCTCATTATGCTGTTGCCCTGTTATAATAATTTTTTTATTTTAAATTTTACCACTTTAAACTTTTGAGTGGTTTATATCCCCCGATTGGGCTCCTACAAATACAGAATTGATGCTAGGAAGGGTCCCAGGAGCTAGACCCACACACATGGGATTTGGGCATAGGTTTGGTTATCCAAGGGGCAGTGCTGAGCTCCTTACCAATGGGAAATGTGATGCTGGTGATTTCCAGAAAGTGACCTCACAATGACTCAAGCTATCACTTACTGTTGATTGTGATTAAATGCCAGCTGAGGCATATGCCTTGGGAGCTAAGTGGTTGCTGCATTTGACCACTATGAAGACTGGTGTGGGAAGGGTCCTTTTGGATGCACTTGAACAGGGCCCCCTAATCCCTGGATGACAGGCCTGTATTGGGCCACACAGCAGGTGAGCAGCAGATGGGTGAGTGAAGCTTCATCTGTATTTACAGCCACTCCCCACATTACTGTCTGATCTCTGTCTCCTGTCAGGTCAGTGGCAGCTTTAGATTCTCATAGGAGCACGAATCCTATTGTGAACTGTGCATGTGAGGGATCTAGCTTGCTCTGTCCTTATGAGAATCTAATGCCTGATAATCTGTCACTGTTTCCCATCACCCCCAGATGGGACTGTCTCGTTGCAGAAAAACAAGCTCAGGACTCCCACTGATTCTACATTATGGTGAGTTATATAATTATTTCATTATATACTACAATGTAATAATAATAGAAATAAAGTACACAATAAATGTACGTTGCTTGAAACATTCCAAAAACTGACCCACTTCCCCCAGTCTGTGGAAAAATTTTCTTCCACAAAACTGGTCCCTGGTGCCAAAAAAATTGGGGACCGCTGCACTTGAGCACTTACAGAGAGAAAAACAAAAAGCTCAAGTCTTTACCTCTTAGCGTAAGTCATGGTCTAGGATCCAGAGAGCTTCCAGGATAGCCCGAACACATTCCTTATTTCTTGTATCTGTAGGGCTGATATTATTGAAAATCAAACACAAACTTAAATGTGTAGATTGCTGAATTGCAATGACAGTTGAATTCATTGTGTCACCAAGGTACTTATGAGAACATTAGGGCAGTAATAGGTGAAGAATGGGATTTTTTTTTTTTTTTGAGACAGTCTCCTTCTGTTGCCCAAGCTGGAGCTCAGTTGTGTGATCTCAGCTCACTGCAGTCTAAACCTCCCAGGCTCAAGCTATCCCCCCACCTCAGCCTCTGGGGTAGCTGGGACCACAGGTATAAGCTACCACACCCAGCTAATTTTTGTGTTTTTTGTAGAGATGTGGTTTCACCACATTGCTCAGGCTGGTATCAAACTCCTGGGATCAAGCTGTCCACCCCCCTTGGACTTCCAAAGTTTTGAGATTACAGGCAGGAGCCACCATGCCTGGCCTTATTCTCTTTTACACTGGTTTATTGTAAGGGCCTCCAGTTGTCTTCCTGACTTCTAGGCTTGCTCACTTCAGCCTGTTCACTGAAGCCAGAGGAATTCTCCTAAAAGGCAAATTTGGGTCAAAATGGTCCTTGATTAAAACCTGCTGCTGACTTCCCATTGCCTTTAAGGCAAAGTCCAAATTAATTTGGCCACAGGACCTGGTAAGAGCTGGCTTCCACTCACCTTCCCAGTTTTATCCTGCACCACCCTCCCCATATCCCTACCCTGCAGCCACATGGAATGTCAGTTTCCTTGGGGGACTTTATTGGTCCTTCAGGAAACCCTTTCCCTACCCCCGTCATCACTCTTTAACTCTCATTTTTGCTCATCTTTGGCCTCAGCTGAGATGTCTCACCCCACTCTATGATGCAACAAGAAACCCCTTGGGAGCGTTTCAGTCCCACTCTATACTTATGTCATTGTGCTCATCACAGTCTGGTAAATGTTAGCATAGGACTCCTATATTAGTCCATTTTCCATTGTTATAAGGAAACACCTGAGGCTGGGTAGTTTATAAAGAAAAAGGTTCATTTGGCTCACAGTTCTGCAGACTATACAAGTAGCAAGGTTCCAGGCCAGGCGCAGTGGCCCACACCTGTAACCCCAGCACGCCGAGACGCTGAGGCAAAAGGATTGCTTGATCCCAGAAGTTTGAAACAAGCCTGGGAAACATGGTGAGACCGTGTCTCTACTAAAAATAAAAAAAAAAAAATAGCCAGGTATGATGGTACACTAATGCATGCCTGTGGTCCCAGCTACTTTGGAGGCCAAAGTAGAAAGATCTGGGAAAGTGCTGGGGTTACAGGCATGAGCCACCACATCTGGCCAGTTTATTTTCTATTACTGGCTCAATGTAAAGGCTGCATCTCAGGAACAGCCAATGAAAGAGATGCACAGGGTAAGGTAAGTGGGGAGGGGCACTTCCATTCCCTCTGTTTGGCACCCTACCCTCCCAGCACCTCCTTGTGTTCAGCAACCTGGAAGCTCTCCAAACCCTATTGTTTAGGGTTTTTATGGAGGCATGATTGATAAAATCATTGGCCATTGGTGGTTAAATTAATCTCCAGCCCCTTTTGCCTCCTGGAGTTCAGTGGGTGAGGCTGAAAGTTCCAAGCCTCAAAAAATGTGGTTGGGGCTGGACGCAATGTCTCAGCCTGTAATCCCAGAACTTTGGGAGGCCAAGGTGGGTGGATCACTTGAGGTCAGGGGTTCATGACCAGCCTGACCAACATGGTGAAACCCCGTCTCTACTAAAAAACAAAAATTAGCTTGGTGTGGTGGCAGGCGCCTGTATGTAGTCCCAGCTACTCTGGAGGCTGAGGCAGGAGAATGGCTTGAACCCAGGAGGCAGAAAAATTAGCCAGGTGTTGTGGCATGCACCTGTAGTCTCAGCTCCTAGGCAGGCCAAGGCAGGAGGATTGTTTAAGCCTGAGAGGTTGAGATTGCTGTGAGCTATGATTGCACCACTGTACTCCATCCTGGTCAATAGAGCAAGACCCTGTTTCAAAAAGATAGAAAGAAATGAGCATGATGGGAATGGGGACAGATGGCAATGTTAAGTAGAGTGGTAATAAATGAAAACTGAGCAAAAGTTTGAAGCAGGTGATGGAGCTGGCCAGGGTGGTGAGGGAAGAGCATTGTAGGCTGAATCAACAGGATAAAGGCATTAGGAGGAAACTCCCTGGTGTGTATGAGGCTCTGGAAGGAGGCCAGTGGAGCAAAGAGATAGAGGGAGAGAGGTAGCGTAGGAGCCAGGGCTGGGCTGGGATCAGTACAGATCACATAAGCCCTGGGAGGCTATTGGTGTGGCTTTGGCTTTTACTCTGACTAAAATGGGAACCGCAGAGTGGTTCTGAGCAGAGAGACAACATGATCTGTCTCCTGATTTAAAAGCACCCCCTGGCTGCTGAGTTGAGAAAGACTGTGGGAAGATTTGGGTAGAAGCATGGGGGCCAAGCTGTGGCAGCATCCAGGTGGGAGATGGTATTGGTCCTGACCAGGGTCATGGTGGTGGTGAGAGATGGTCAGAGCCTGAATACACGTTGAAGTCAGTCAACAGGATTTCCTGGCAGACTGGATGTGAACTGTGAGAGAATGCAGGAGTCAAGGTTGAGTTTGAGTCTAATTGAATTATTAAGTAATTAAAAAAAAAAACATTACTGCCTTTCCCAGTCCTACCAAGTAAAGGATGCAAGACTAAAGAAATCTCAAGTCAGGCCAGGTGCAGTGGCTCACACCTATAGTTCCAACAGCTTGACAGGCAGAGATGGGAGTATGTTTAAGGCCATGAGTTGGAGAGCAACCTGGGCAACATAGCAAGACCTCCTCTCTACAAAAATAAAAGAAAGAAATTTAATAAAATTTCTTTTTATTAAAGGAATAAATAGGAAGTTACTCAGGAGGCTGAGGTAGGCAGATCTCTTGAGGCTAGGAGTTTGAGGCCAGCTTGGGCAACATAGCAAGAGTTCTCTCTCTACCAAAGTAAAAAAAAAAAAAAAAAATGGCACTACATGATAGTACTTGCCTGTATTCCCAGGTTCTGGGGCATCTGAGGCAGGAGCATCTCTTGAGCCCAGTTGGTCAAGGCTGCAGTTAGCTATGATTATATCACTGCACTCCAGCCTGGGTGACAGAGTGGGACCCTGTCTCAAAATACAAATACAAATGAAATGAAATCTCAAGTCAGACCAATCCCTTCTAGGCTATGCAGACCTTGCAACTGCATAGCCACATGATCGAGTTTATGTGGCTGTGGATGAGGAGACCTCTGTCCAGTTGTTGTTGGCTATATAATCAGTTTATTTTTAAATATAGTAATTCAGTATATTTCCTCATATTTGATCATCTCAGATATGTGTGGATTTTTAAATTCTCCTTGGAAGAGGTTGTAACATCTTATTGGCTCCATCATTCCATAATTTTTTTATCTGATCAGTTTTTAATAAGATCACAATTGATATTACACTACCTAATCAGTTTTAATTAAAGAGAAAATGAAATTGTGTTGTTTGCACTTTATCCAAGATTGGTGTCATATTGGCTAAATCAAATCAACACAAATGCAAAATTAGAGCTTCTTTATCATGAAACACTATGTCATTCTTGAAGAAGATGCCATTTCTTCTTCTTCTTCTTTTTTTTTTTTTTTTAGATGGAGTCTTGCTTTTGTCACCCAGGCTGGAGTGCAATGGTGTGATTTTGGCTCACTGCAACCTCCGGCTGCTGGGCTCAAGCAGTTCTCCTGCCTCAGCCTCTTGAGTAGCTGGGATTGCAGCCACATGCGACCACACCCAGCTAATTTTTGTATTTTTAGTAAATACGGGGTTTCACCATGTTGGCCAGGCTGGTCTCGAACTGTTGACCTAAGGTGAACTGCCTGCCTCGGCCTCCCAAAATGTAGAGATTACAGGTGTGAGCCACCATGCCCAGCCTCCTTTTCTTTTTTGTAGTCTTTAATAAACAGCTGCTATAGTTGCAGACTTGCTGTTCAGGCTCTTAGGAATTTTTCACTAGAAGGCATGTAAAGAAAGACCATGAGCATTTGTAATGAATTTAGCATTCATTCTTTGACTGTGTGGTTATCCCCAGAGCTGTAACTTTACTAATAAATTTTTTAGAAGCTGATTAGCTAGCAAATGAGCCTAACCAGCCACTCACCTTCATTATTCAGTGCCCTTTTATTCTTGTCTATTTCCCCGCAAACTTGGCTACACTCACAAAGTGATAAAAACTTGCATTTCTCTTCTTTCCTTTTTAGAGACAGGGTCTTGTTCTGTCACCCAGGCTGCAGTACAGTGACATGATCATGAGTCACTGTAGCTTCAAACTCCTGGGCTCAAGCAATCCTCCCATGTCAGTCTCCCAAGTAGCTGGGACTACAGACATGTGCCACCATGCCCAGCTAATTTTTTATTTTTTTTTATCATAGAGACAGGATCTTGCTAGATTGCTCAGACTGGGCTCAAACTTCTGACCTCAAGTGATCCTCCTGCTTCAGCCTCCCAAACTGCTGGGATTACAGGCAGGCATGACCACCTGTGCCCAGCCCCTTATTATTATTATTTAAAATAGTAGCTTTATTAAAATATGATTCACATACCGTTCACTTTATTTATTGAAATCTGAAATTCAGTAGGTTTTAGAGTATTCCCAGAGCTGTGCATCAATCACCACAGTCACTTTTAGAATCTTTCATTACCCTATAGAGAAAACCACACTCCTTATCCACTACCTCCTACTCCCCCCCACCTGCCTTGGCCCCCAGTCTTTGGAAACGATTGATTCATTTTTTTGTCACTATAGACTTGTCTAATCTGGACAAATAGATTTGTATAATATGTGATCTTTTGTGGCTTTTTTCCCTCTTAGCACAATGTTTTCAAAGTTCCTTTATGTCATAGTGTGTATCAATATTTCATTCCTTCTATGGCCGAATAATATTCCATGGTAGAGACACACTGCATTTTGTTTATCTGTTCATCAGTTGGTGGACATTTGGGTTGTTTCCATGTATTGGCCATTACAAATAATGCTGCTATGAGGATTGCTGTACAAGTTTTTGTGTGGACATATATTTTTATTTCTCTGGGATATATGTCTTGGAGTGAAATTGTTGCATTATATAATGACTGTACATTTAGACTTTTGAGAAACTGCCAGACTGTTTTCTAAAGTGGCTACACCAGTTGGGTGTGATGGTTCACACCTGTAATCCCAGCTACTCAGGAGGCTTAGTTGGGAGGATGGCTTGAACCCATGAGTTCAATACCAGCCTGGGCAAGATAATGACACTCTGTCTTGATTTAAAAAAATCCAATAAAAATGACAAGAAAAGAAATACCCAAAGTGGTTACACGATTTTATGTTCCCACCAGTAATGTATGTGGGTTCCAATTCCTCCACATCTTCACTGACATTATTTTTTTTTCTAGATAGGGGCTTGCTCTGTCTCTCAGGCTGCAGCACAGTGATGCCATCACAGTTCACTATAGCCTTGACCTCCCAGGCACAAGTGATTCTCTCACGTCAGCCTCCTGAGTAGCTGGGAATTACAGGTGCATGCCACCATGCCTGGCTAATTTTTTTACTTTTTTGTACTCATGGGTTTTACAATGTTGGCTAGGCTGGTCTCATACTCCTGGCCTCAAGTGATCTGTCCACCTCACCCTCCCAAAGTTCTGGAAACTAGGCTGAGCCACTGTGCCCGGCCTTCACCATTTGTTATCTTTTTGTTTTCTTTATACCTTAAAGCAGTATAAGAACAAGTGTCTTCAATTATTCTAAACAAAAATATAATCCCAGGACATTGGGAGGGTGAGATAGGAAGATCTCTTGATGCCAGGAGTTTTTTGTTTTTTTTTTTTGTTTTTTTGTTTTTTGAGACAGAGTCTCACTCTGTCGCCCAGGGTAGAGTGCAGTGGCACAATCTGGGCTCACTGCAACCTCTGCCTCCCAGGTTCAAGTGAATCTTCTGCCTCAGCCTCCTGAGTAGCTGAGATTACAGGCACATGCCACTACTGCCTAGCTAATTATTGTACTTTCAGTGCACATGGGGTTTCACCATGTTGGTCAGACTGGTCTGAAACTCCTGTCCTCAGGTGATCTGCCTGCCTTGACCTCCCAAAGTGCTGGGATTACAGTCATGAGCCCTCATCCCCAGCCTGATGCCAGGAGTTTTAGACCAGCCTTGGCAACTTAGCAAGACTTCATCTCTACAGAATATTGAAATATTAGCCAGATGTGGTGATGCCTGCCTATGGTCTCTCTTGTTTTTTTTTTTTTTTTTAAAGCTTTTGAGACATGTTCTGTCTCTGTCACCCAGGCTGGAGTGCAGTGGTGTGATCATGGCTCACTGAAGCCTGAAACTCCTGGGATCCAGTGATCAATCCTCCCACCTCATCCTACCAAGTAGCAGGGACCACAGGGGCATGCCACCTGGGTCTTGCTATGTTGCCCAGGCTGGTCTTGAGCTCCTGGCCTCAAGCAATCCTCTCACCTTGGCCTCCCAAAGTGCAAGGATTAGAGGTATGAGCCACCATGCCTGGCCCCTACCCTGCCTATTTGAGAACCGAAAGGAGGATCCAAATTCTCCTTAGCTCAACTCGAGCCATTTCCCGATTGCTTCATCAGCAAGGAACTGGTTATTGGGCTGTCCAGGCCTCCCAAGCCACACAGAAATGAGGTGAGGGAGTTTTCCTGCTGCTCCACTCTGTGAGGAGTTAGGGGATGATGTTTACTCATTTGCAGAGAGAGATGCTTTGTAGGCACCTTAGTATGGAGGGAATCCTGATTCCAATGTCCTGGTTTCTTTTAGAAACAGGACCTTGCTGTGTCACTCAGGATGGAGTTCAGTGGTCCTATCATGGCTCATTGTAGCCTCAAACTCCCAGGCTCAAGTGATCCTACCACTTCAACCTTCCCAATAGCTGGGACTACAGGTAAGCACCGTGACACTCAGTGAATTTTTCTTTTTTTTTTTTTTTGGTAGACATGGGGCCTCACTATATTGTCAGGGCTGGCCTTGAACTCCTGCACTCAGGGGAATTTCCTGCCTTGGCCTCCAAAAGTGTTGGTATTACAGGCATGAGCCATTGTACCCGCCGTCTCTGGTTCTTAACCTTCTGCCTCCCTCTTCCACATTTAAAGAAAGCTTGATATTACATGGGCTCTTCCAGATACTCCAGGATAATCTTGTTTTAAGATCAGCTGATTAGCAACATTAATTCCTTCTGTACTCTTAATTCCCCCTTCCTATGTAATTGTGCTGTGTAACATAGGACATGAGCAATTGGTGGGGGGTGGGGGGTGGGGTCATTACTTTGGCCACCACAGTAACTGTTTTGTGCCAGGTACTGAGCTAAGAACTGTTGAATTAAACATGAATAACCCATAATCCCTAATCTCCATCCATTCATGGGAGGAGCACCTCACCTCTCATGCTCCTGAGAATCTGGAGAGTCAAGGAAGGCTTCCAGGAGGGGGTGATGCCAAAGCAGACAAGTGACAGAGGACCCAAAGCTATCCAGGAAGAGAGTAGAGGTTTAAGGGGAAGTGTATTCTAAGCAGAGGGTATCACTCACTTCAGAGACTCCCAGAGGAGAAAGAGTGTGGATTTCATAAGAGCAGGATTCAGCTCATTATGAGAATCTAATGCCTGATTCATGGGGCACATGAGGCTCAGTTGGACTCCACAGCAGGTAAAATGGAGAGGGGCAAGCAGTGAGGCTGCCTTGCAAGGCAGGGCAGAACAGGGGCTGTTAAGAAGTTTGGATTTAATCCCCAAGACAAGGAGAAGTGATGTAAACTTTGGAGTAACGTGATGAGATTAATGGATTAGAGACATGGCTCAGGCTGCTGTGTGGAGAAGGCACCAGGGGGAGCAGATGGCTCAGTGGGTGTGCTGGGACCTAAAGCAGGGGACACACTGAGTTTAGGGAGAGGTTTTTAAAATAGAAGAAGTTTGAGTAATTTAAATGATAGTGGGAAGGGGCTAAAAGCAGGGGATAGTTTAAAGATACAGGGAAGTGGGAGGAAGAACTGACAAGTGAGGTTCCAGAGAGGGGAGGAGAAGAGGAGATCCCCATAGGGGGATTAGCACTTTCTTTTCTTTTCTTTTTCTTTCTAAGACAGGGTCTCTGTCACCCAAGCTGGAGTGCAGTGGCATGATTTTGGCTCACTGTAGCCTAGACTTCCCAGACTCAAGGGATCCTTCCACCCTAGATGCCCAAGTAGCTGGAACTACAGATGTGCACCACCACCACACCTGGCTAAATTTTTTTTCTTTTTTTGGTAGACACAGGGTCTCACTATGTTGCTCAGACTGGTCTCCAACTCCTGGCCTCAAGCGATCCTCCTGCCTAGGCTTCCCAAATTGCTGGGATTACAGGCATGAGACACCATGCCTGGCCTCTGCTAGTTCTGTATTCTCTAGAGTTGTCTTTACTTTGTGCTAGTGTGTCCCTCATTATGCTGATCCTCTGTTAAAATTAATACTTTTTTTTGAGATGGAGTTTCACTCGTTGCCCAGGCTGAAGTGCAATCGCACGATCTTGGCTCACCGCAACCTCCACCTGCTGGGTTCAAGCGATTCTCCTGCCTCAGCCACCCGAGTAGCTGGGATTACAGGTATGTGCCATCACGCCCAGCTAATTTTGTGTTTTTAGTAGAGACGTGGTTTCTCCATGTTGGTCAGGCTGGTCTCGAACTCCTGACCTCAGGTGATCCACCCACCTCTACTTCCCAAAGCGCTGGGATTACAGACATGAGCCACCGCACCTGGCCAAAATTAATACTTTTTATATTAAATTTACATATATATTTTTTCTTTCTTTTTTCTTTTTTTTTATTTTTGGATACCAGGTCTCATGCTGTCAGCCAGGCTGGAGTGCAGTGGCACAATCTCTGCTCACTGCAACCTCCACCTGCCAGGCTCAAGAAGTTCTCCTGCCTCAGCCTCCCGAGTAGGTGGGACTATAGATATGTACCACCACACCTGGCTAATTTTTGTGTTTTTTTGTAGAAATGGGGTTTCACCATGTTTCCCAAGCTGGTCTCAAACTCCTGAGCTCAAAGTGATCCACCCGCGTTGGCCTCCCAAAGTGCTGGGATGACAAGTGTGAGCCACTTTGCTCATTCTAGTTTAAACTTTTGAGTGGTTTGTGTCTCCTGATTGGACTCCTACAAATACAGAATTTATGCTAGGAAGGGTCCCAGGAGATAGACCCACACAGATGGAATTTGGGCATAGGTTCGGTTATCCAAGGAGCAGTGCTAAGCTCCTTGTCAATGGGACATGGGATGCTGGTAATTTCCAGGAAGTGACCTCACAATGACTCAAGCTATCACTTACTGTTGATTGTGATGAAATGCCAGGTGAGGCATAAGCCCTGTGAGCTTAGAGTTGCTACACTTGACCACTGTGGCAGTCAAGATGACTCTGAAGAATGGCATGGGATGGATCCTTTTGAATGCACTTGAGCAGGGAACTCCAACCACAGGGTCACAGAGCCGGAGGTGAGCAACAGGTGAATGAGGGGAAACTTCTTCTGTATTTCTAGCCCTCCCATCACTTGCATGACCACCTAAGCACCATGTCCTGTCAGATCAGCAGCAGCATTAGATTCTCCTAGGAGCATGAACCCTGTTATGTGCATGTGAGGGATCTAGGTTTCACTCTCCTTATGAGAATCTAATGCCTGATGATCTGTCACTGTCTCCCATCACCCTAGATGGACAGTCTAGCTGCAGGAAAACAAGCTCAGAGATCCCACTGAGTCTGCATTATAGTGAGTTGTAGAATTATTTCATTATATATTACAGTGTAGTAATAATAGAAATAAAGTACACAATATATGTAATGTACTTGAATCGTCCTGAAATCATTTCCTTCACCCCCAGTCTGTGGAAAAATTGTCTTCCACACAGTCACTCAGTTTTTTTTTTTTTTTTGGTAGAGACAGGGCCTTAATATGTTGCCCAGGCTGATCTCAAACTGCTAGCATCGAGTAATATATCCCTCTCAGCCTCCCAAAGTGTTGAGATTATAGGCATAAGCCACCATGCTCAACCAAGACTGAATTTTTTAAACCAAATAAAAATTAAGTGAGATTACCTGAGCCCAGGTGGTTGACGCTGCAGTGAGCCCTGATTGCACCACTGCACTCCAGCCTAGGTGACAGAATGAGACTCTGTCTCAAAAAATTAAAATAAAATAAAATAAAATACAAATTAATCCTTTATGACATTCCCAGTAACTTTCCCTCCTAAGTGTTCCCCCAAGCCTTTTAATTTTGTTAAATTTTCACATACCATTTAAAACGTTTAAGAACGTATGTCTGTCTGTGTCATCCCTCTATTTCAAAAGAATGTCTTTTTGTCACTCTCAGCTGGATCTACCATGAAAGACTTCAGAGTCCAGGAAGAGAGACTGACTGGGCAACATGTTATTCAGGTACAAAAAGGCTTGGAATATGACTCAAAAATGATCAAATAATAGTGCATGCATCATATGCAATGGGAAGCTTTTCTGGAGTGTGAGAGAAGCTTCTAGTTAAGGTGACCTTTGAAGCCAAGTCCTGAAAGGTGAGGAAGAGTTGTATAAGAGTGGGTATGAGAGTGGGGAGGGAAGGGGGAAGTGGAGGGATGGGATGGAGTGAGCTGCCCAGGCAGGGAAACCAGCACTGTAAAGACCTGAACAATGAAGATGGCACTTTTTTTCAGGAAATGGTGAATTAAGTTTGACAGGAATGCTTTGTAGAGACAGTAATTTGCTTGTATGGAATTTTGCCTGAGAGACCCCACTACAGTTTCTAATCTTTTGATGTTATCATCCATCACTGTCCTTGTCAAATGATTTAGAATAGGTATAATGATCACAATAACACCAAGCGTAATATCTTATTAATTCTCACAAAATCACAGGTAGGTGCCACAGTTATCCCCATTTTATGAATGAAATGATGAAGACTTAGGGATAATGAGTGATTTGCGCAAGCTCACTTGGATATTATGACTGAGTCAAATGGTGGATCTCTTCTGACTTCAATGCTTGCTTTGTTCATGAGCACCACATATTGCCTCTCCTATGCAGTTAAGCAGGTAGACAGGTGAAAGAAAAGTCCATGTTTGTCTCTACTTACACATTTCTGATTGAACGTGTGTACCGAATTCTCCAGTGTTCTGGATATTAACTGGGTATTCCACAATTTTATTCTGACACTACCTAGAGTTAACACAGACCCCACAGGCTAGGAGCTCAGTCTCATAAGACTATCCTCACTTCAGATGCCAATGGCAAGTCCTAGGTTGTCACCTGTACTTTTGACCAACCTGTTACAAATCAGGGGTTCCCATGACCCTCTTCTTGGGTTTAATAATTTGCTAGAACAGTTTACAGAACTCAGAACAACAGTTTATTTTCTTTTTCTCTGAGAGACAGGTTCTCATTTTGTTGCACAGGCTGGGTGTGCAATGGTGAAGTTATAGCTCACTGCAGCATCAACTGTCTGGGCTCCAGTGGTCCTCCCACCTCAGCTTCCCTAGTAGCTGAGACTACATGCCTCTACCACCACATCTGGCTAATTTCTTTTATTTTTTGTAGAGATGGGGTCTTGTTGTGTTGCCCAGTCTGGCCACAAATTCCTGGGCTCAAGTGATCCTCCCACCTCAGCCTCTTAAAGTGCTGGGATTACAGATGTGAGCCACCGTATCTGGCCGTTCATTTCTTATTACTGGTTCATTGTAAAGGATACATCTCAGAAATAGTCAATGAAAGACACATACTTGCTGAATGTGGTGGTTCATGCCTGTAATTCCAGCACTTTGGGAGGCCAAGGTGAGGGGATTACTTAAACTCAGGAGTTTGAGACCAGCCTGGGAAACATGGTGAAAACCTGTCTCTACAAAAAATTTAAAAAAAAATAAAAATAAATAACCAGGTGCAATGTTGTGCACCTATTATTCCAGCTACTAGGAAAGCTGAGCCGAGAGGATGCCTTGAGCTGGGGACTGGGGAGGCTTAGGTTGCAGTGAGCTGAGATTGTGCTACTGCACTCCAGCCTGGACAAAAGAGCCAGACCCTGTCTCAAAAGAAAAGAAAGATGCCCAGGGCAAGGTAAGTTAGGAGGGGCACAGATCTCCCATGCCCTCTGTTGAACATGCCACCTTCCCAGCATCTCCTGTGTTCAGCAAGCCCAGAAGCTCTGCAAACCCCATTCAGGGTGTTTATGGAGGCTGTATTATGCAAGCATGATGATTGATAACATCTTTGGCCATTGGTGATTAAGTCAATCTTCAGCCTCTCTTCCTCCTGGAGTTCAGTGCATAAGGCTGAAAGTTCCAAGCATCTAATCATGTGGTTGCCCCCAAAGTTCTTAGAGGCTCTTGTGTTAGAAACCTGGGACCAAGATTAAATATTAAAAACAAAAGATGCTCCTATCATGTCTATCACTGAGGTCTTTGTAAGAGCTTTAGAAGCTCTGTGCCAGGAACCAGGGACAGAGATTAAATATGTATTTCTTTTCTTTTCTTTTTTTGAGACAGAATCTCCCTGTGTCATCCAGGAGGTCATATGATCTCAGGAGGTCATAGCTCACTATAGCTTTGACCTCCTGAGATCAAGCCATTCTCCCACCTCAGCCTCCCAAGTAGCTGGGACTACACATGCATGTTACCCATGACCAGCTCATTTTCATAGAGATGAGATTTAGTTATGTCGCCCAGGCTGATCTCAAACTCCTGGGCTAAAGTGATCATCTCACCTCAGCCTCTCAAGTAGCTGGAACTACAGATGCACACCACCATGTCCGGCTAATATTTATTCTTATTTTTTTTCTAGAGGTGGGGTCTCACTATGTTGTTCAGGCTAGTTTCAAACTTTGGGCTTCAAGTGTTTCTCCTGTCTTGACCTCCCAGTGTTGGGATTATGGGTGGGAGCCACCATGCCCAGCAATCACAAGGATCTTTATAAAAGAAAGAGGGTCAGAGAATCAGAATTGGAGCAGGAGATGTGGTGATGGAAGCAGAGGTCAGAGAGGGAGATTTGAAGATGCATCACTTCTGGCTTTGAAGATGGAGTCAGGGGCCATGATCCAAGAATGTGGGTGGCTTCTAGAAGCTGGAAAAGCTAAGGGAAGACTTTAGAGTCTCCAGAAGGAATGCAGCCCTGCTGACACCTTGACTTTAGCCTTAATAGACCTATTTTGGGCTTCTGGCCCCCAGAACTGTAAGATGGTAGATTTGTGGTGTTTTAAGCCACTAAATATAGGAAACTACAAACTGTTGCAGCAGCAAGAAAAAATGAACACGTAGCCAGTTATGGTGGCTAATGCCAGTAATCCCAGCACTTCAGGAATTTAGACAGGAGGATCACTTGAGGCCAGGAGTTCAAGACCAGCCTGGGCAACATGGAGAGACCTTGTCTGTATGAAAAATAAAAAAATTGGCTGGGCACGGTGGCTCATGCCTGAAATTTCAGCACTTTGGGAGGCCAAGGTGGGTGGATCACCCCTGAGGTCAGGAGTTTGAGAGCAGCCTGGCCAACATTGTGAAACCTTGTCTCTACTAGATATACAAAAACTAGCCAGTCGTGGTGACACACACCTGTAATTCCAGCTACTTGGGAGGCTGAGGCAGGAGAATCACTTGAATCCAGGAGATGGAGGTTGCAGTAAGCTGGGATTGCACCATTGCACTCCAGCCTGGGCAAGAAGAGTGAAGCTCCATCTCAAAATTAAAATAAAATAAAATAAAAAAATAAAATACTAAAATAATGAGCCAGGAATGATAGCATGCACTTGTAGTCCCAGCTACTAGGGAGGCTGAGGTGGGAGGACCACTTGAGCCTGGGAATTTGAGGTTACAGTGAGCTGTGATTGTGCCACTGCACTCCAGTCTTGGTGACAGAGTGAGATCTTGTGAAAGACAGAAAGAATGAGAGAGAGAGACCAACAGACAGAAAGAAAGAAAAAGAAAGAGAAAGAAACAAAAAAAAATAAAGAAAAAGAAGACATGAGCATGGTAGGCATGGGGACAGATGGCAATGTTAAATAGAATGGTCAGGGGTCACCTCCTAAGTGAAAATTGAGCAAAGACTTGAAGGAGGGGAAGGAGTTGGCCAAGGTGCTGAGGGAAGAGGATTATAGGCAGAAACAACAGAATAAAGTGTCTGAGGTGTGTCTGAGGCTCTGGAAGGAGGCCAGTGGAGCAGAAGGATAGAGGGAGAGAATTAGAGGACGGAATCAGTACACATCGCATAAGCCCTGGGAGGTTATTGCTGGGGCTTTGGCTTTTACTCTGACTGAGATGGGAACTGTGGGAGGGTTCTGAGCAGAGAGGTGACATGATCTGTCTCCCGATTTAAAAGCATTCTCTGGCTGCTGAGTTGAGAAAGACTGTGGGAAGATTTGGGTAGAAGCATGGGGGCCAAGCTGTGACAACATCCAGGTGGGAGATGATAGTGGTCCTGACTAGGGTCATGGTGGTGGTGAGAGATGGTCAGAGGAGAGAAGTAGGGGAGAAGGCCAGGGAGTTGCTGGGGGGGATCTTCAGTACATGTTGAAGACAGTCAACAGGATTTCCTGACAGACTGGATGTGAGGTGTGAGAGAAGGCAGAGGTCAAGGTTGAGTTTGATTCTTACTGAATTATTAAGTAATTTTAAAAAACACTACTGCCTTTCTCAATCCTACCGAGTATGGGATGCTAGATTAAAGAAATCTCTTCATTCTCAGTGCAGTGGCTCATGCCTGTAGTCCCAGTTGTTTGGGAAGCAGAGATGGGAGTTTATTTTAAGAGCTGGAGTTCAAGACAAGCATGGACAACATAGCAAGACCTCCTCTCTACAAAAATGTTTTTCAAAATTTAATAAAATAAATGTAGCTAGCATGGTGATGTGTACTTGTAGTCCCAGCTACTCAGGAGGGTGAGATGGGCAGATCTCTTGAGGTCAAGAGTTTGAGGCCAGCTTGGGCAATATAGCAAGACCACTCACTCTACAAAAAATTTAAAAAATAGCCAGGTATGGTGGCACTCAACTGTAGTACCAGCTACTGGGGAGCTGAGACAGGAAGATGGCTTGAGCCCAGGAGATTGAGGCTGCAGTGAGCTATAAGTACACAACTGCACTCCAGCCTGGAGGACAGAGCAGGACCTGTCTCACAGTACAAATAGAAATACAAGTAAAAAAATGAAATCTGAAGTCAGAGCCTTTTGTCTCTGCAGCCGTTGCAACCCTGGAGCCATGGAGTAGGGTTTGTGTCTCTGGGAATGAGGAGACCCCTGCCCAGTGTTGTTGCCTGACTAATTGGTGTTTCTAAAAATGTATTAATTGGGGTGGGTGTGGTGGCTTATGCCTGTAATCCCGGTACTTTGGGAGACCCAAGTGGGTGGATCACCTGAGGTCAAGGGTTCTAGACCAGCCTGGCCAACATGGTGAAACCCCATTTCTACTAAAAAAAAAATACAAAAATTAGCCGGGCATGGTGGTGGGCACCTGTAATCCCAGCTACTTGGGTGGCAGAGGCAGGAGAATCACTTGAGCCCAGGGGGCGGAGGTTGCAGAGAGCCGAGATTGTGCCACTTCACTCCAGCCTGGGGAAAGAGCGAGACTCCGTCTCAAAAAAAAAAGTATTAACGTAATGATTTTATTATTAGTATGTAATGAATATTAAATACTTTTAAAATTTTGTATTATATCAACATGTAATGGTTTTATAATATTTATAAAATTTATAATATTTTTAAAATTTTGTCATATTTTCTAATTTTAATACATTTGTATAAAGAAACAGTCTTAGGGATCTTCAATAAAGTTAAAAAATGTAAAGGGGTGCTAGACCCCAAAAGATAGACCCCAAAAGACTGAGAACTTCTAGTTTAGAAATATTCAGAGTAAGCCACATACAACTTGTTACTTAATCTATTTTCTTTCTTTTTTCTTTTAGGAGATGGCGTCTCACCCTGTCACCCAGGCTGGAGTGCAGTGGTGCCATCACAGCTCACTGCAGCCTTGAACTGCTGGGCTAAGGATCCTCCTGCCTCATCCTCCCGAGTAGCTGGGACTGTAGGTATACATGATGACACCTGGCTAATTTTTAAATTATTTTGTAGACATGGGGTCTCACTTTATTGGTCAGGCTGGTGTCAAACTCTTGGCCTCAGGTGACCCTTCCAACTCTGCCTCCCATCCTAGAGGTATGAGCCACCACAACGAGCACTTGTTCAATTTTCTAAAAAAATAAAAAATTTCTAAAAGCTGTGGGATGATGGCAGGAAAAGTAGAAAAACAGAAAAGTAAGTTCAAATAACTTATTCACACATATTCTTTCGACAGCAAGAGGAACTTTTAGTATATATGTTCCTTACAAACAAACAAAAGGCAAATAAACAATGTTGTATAGGAACTTCAACGCACACTGTACAATATTCCCACTTTGCTGACATCAGTTATGGAAATTCTTTGTGGTTTACTTCACTATCGCTATCAGTATTTTGCTTCTCTGATCATTTTTATCAACTTCCTCATCTGTTAACTTCTCTCCAAGGTGTGTCATATCGTGACAAACTGCTGCTGCACAAACATGGCCAGCGTCTTCTTATTAAACATATAGAATGCTTCCCTAATTTCTTTTTTTACCATATATCTCTGTGTTTTGCATTTTTCTTACCTTTATTGTCAGAGACTCTAGAAAGTCTGTTGTACTAATTTATCATGATTTGCTTCATTAATACATACTTTGCTTATATGGAATTTAGCCCAACAGACCTCATTAGAATTTCTAACTTTTTTGTTTGTTTGTTTGTTTGTTTGTTTCCAAGACAAAGTCTTGCTCTGTTGTCCAGGGTGGAGTGTAGTGGTGCTATCACAGCTTACTGCGATCTCAACCTCCCAGGCTCAAGCTATTCTCCCACCTCAGCCCCCGAAGTGGCTGAGACTATAGGTGCTTGCCGCTATACCCAACTCATATTTGGATTTTTCCTATATGTGGGTTCCAAAGGGGTGACTGCAAAATGTGAGTATGCATGGATTTTGGTATATGCAGAGATAGGTGGCTGGAACTAATCCTCTCTGTATAGCAAGGGATGACTGTATGTGTTTTTACAATTATGCTGTAGGACACATATTTTTCCATAGCCTTTAAAATAATAATTTGTAATGACAGATAATTTTTAATAGAGTGGAATAATAATAATGTTGATAAAAGTAGCAGCTGGCCAAGTGTGGTGGTTCACACCATTAATCACAACACTTTAGGAGGCTGAGGCAGGAGGATGGCTTGAGGCCAAGAGTTTGAGACAGGTCATGGAAACAAAGGGAGTCACCATCCCTGCAGAAAAATACATGAATTAGCCTAGTGTGGTGATGTGTTCCTATAGTCCCAGCTACTTGGGAGACTGAGGTAGGAGGATCACTTGAGCTCAGGGAAGCTGAGACTGCAGTGAGTCATGATCAGGCCTCTGCACTCCAGCCTGGGTGGCAGAGTGAGACCCTGTCTTAAAAAAGTACCAGGTAACATCAAGTGACCTTTTACCAGGTGCCTATAAATATCATAGTTTAATTTCTTATAACTGTTTCTTATTTCACTTAACTACTCTGTCTTCAATTACTCCTAGATTTTCACTGTGTTTGTACAGTTGACATTTTGTTTAGATTGAATTGTCTCCCCAAGGTATTTCCAGAAGTAAGATTACTGTGAGTCATGGTGAATGGACATTCTCATTGCCCTTGATGTAAATGGTCAAGGTTTTGGGTGCCTCTCAGCTATAATCCCAGCCCTTTGGAAGCTAAGGCAGGAGGATTGCTTGAGGCCAAGAGTTGGAGGACGCAGTAGGTGAGATTGTGTCTCTATTATTTAAAAAAATTGCCAAGCTTTACCCTGGAAGGCTTATGTACAATTTAAACACCACTCATAGTATAAGAAAGTGTCCATTTCACTGCACCTTTGCCAGCACAGGGTATTATAATTTAATACTTTTTTCATTATTTTAAATAGATAAAAGACCTCATATTACTTTATCTGTCACATTTCAACATCTTTCCTTAGCTTATTATCTCTATTTCTTTTCTGTCTGTAAATGGTTGTTGTTGTTTTGTTGTTGTTGTTTTGTTCTTTGAGATGGGGTCTTGCTCTGTCACCCAGGCTTGATGACTGTAATGGCATAATCATCACTCACTGCAGCCTTGACCTCCCAGGCTCAAACTACCCTCCCACATCAGCTTCCCGAGTAGCTGGGACTACAAGTGTGCACCACCACTCCCAGCTAATTTTTTTTTCTTTTTTTTGGATAGAGACAGGGTCTTGCTGTGTTGTCCAGGCCGGTCTCTAGCTCCTGGCCTCAAGCAATCCTCCTGCGTTGGCTTCTGAAATTGCAGGAATTTCAGGCATGAGCCACAATGCCTGGCCTGGGCTAGTCCTATATTCTCTAGAGTTCTCTTTACTTTGTGCTAGCCAGTCTCTCATTATGCTGTTCCCCTGTTATAATGAATAATTCTCTGTATTAAATTTTACCACTTTAAACTTTTGAGTGGTTTATGTCTCCTGATTGGACTCTGACTAATATGCTAGGAAGGGTCCCAGGAGATAAACCCACACAGATAGGATTTGGGCATAGGCTTGGTTATCCAAGGGGCAGTGCTGAGCTCCTTGCCAATGGGAAATGAGATGCTGGTGATTTCCAGGTAGTGACTTCACAATGACTCAAGCTACCACTTACTGTTGATAGTGATGAAATGCCAGCTGAGTCACAAGCCTTGGGAGTTAAGTGGTTGCTGCACTTGACCACTATGAAGACTGGTGTGGGAAGGGTCCTTTTGGATGCACTTGAGCAGGGGTCCCCAACCCCTGAGCCATGGAGATGTAAGGAGCCACACAGCAGGAGGTGAGTGGTGTCGAGTGAGGGAAGTTTCATCTGTATTTACAGCCACTCCCATTTGCTCACATTCCTGCCTGAGCTCCACCTTCTCTCAGATCAGCAGCACCATTAGATTCTCACAGGAGCTCATACCCTATTGCGAACCGTACATGTGAGGGATCTAGGTTGCGCTGTCCCTATGAGAATCTAATGCCTGATTATCACTTTCTCCCATCACGCTCAGAGGATGGGACCATCTAGTCACAGGAAAACAAGGTTAACACGCCCACTGATTCTACATTATGATGAATTCTATATTTCATTATATCTTACAACAGAATAGTGGAAATAAAGTACCTAATAAATGTAATGTGCTTGAATCTTTTGGTCCAGCTCCCGCCTCCCAGCAGCCTCTTCAGGCCCAGAACTTTCTCCAATTGGCCTCTACAGACCAAGCTCATGGCTCCCAATGGCCTATTTAGGCCCATACCCTACCTCATGACAGTCTCCGCAGATGAGGCTACTGTATCACGGCAGCCTCCACAGGCCCAACTCCATCATTACAACAGCCTCTTTTGGCCCAGCTCCTGCCTCCCAGCCTTCTCTCCAGGCCCAGAGCTTTCTCAAGTTGACCCCAGCTCCTGCCTCTCATCGGCCTCCCAAGGGCTGGCTTTTGCCTCATGGCCACCTTCCAAGACCCAGCTCCTCCTCTTGAGGTGCACCTTCTGCCTCCCACCAGTCTGTACAGGCCAGCTCTTCTTGAGGCCCACCTTCTGCCTCCCAACAGCCTGTACAGGCCCAGCTCCTGCCTTACAACAGCCTGTTTAGTCCCAGCTCCTGCCTCTGGGTGGCCTATCCAGGCCCAAAATGTCCACAAGTCAACCTCTCAAGGCCCAACTCCTGCCTTCTGTCAGCCTCTCCAGGCCCAGCTGCTGCTTCCAGGTGGCCTCTACAGGCCAAGCTCTTTCTTCTGGCTGTGACTGGGGGCCCAACTTCTGCCTCACAATAACCTCTTTTGGCTCAGCTCCTGCCCAGCTCCTAGTGGCCTTTGTAGGCCCAAAACTGCCTCAAGTCAAGCTTTCCAGGCCCACTTTCTGCCTCCCAATATCCCGGACAGGCCCAGCTCCTGCGTGACAACGGCCTCTCCAGGCCCAGCTCTTGCCTCCCAGCAGACTCTCCAGGCCCAGCTTTTGCCTCATGGATGTCTTCCCCGAACAATTTCCTACCTGCCTCCCAGCAGCCTTGACAGGCCCAGATCCTACCTCACACTAACATCATTAGGCCCAGCTTATGCCTCACGGTGGCCTTTCCAGGCCTAGCTCCTGCCCCCCCACAGCTGTCCATGCCCAAAACTTCCTCAAGTCAGCCTCTTCAGGCACAACTCCTGCTGAACACTGGCCTCTTTAGGCACAGCTCATGCCTCTCAGTGGCCTCTCCAGGCCCAGTTCCTGCATCTCAGCGGCCTCTCCAGACCAAGAACTTTCTCAAGTCCGCCATTCCAGGCCCAACTCCTGCCTCCCATCGGCCTCTACAGGTTCAACTCTGCCTCACAGCAGACTCTCGAGGCCCAGCCTGTGCCTCACCGCAGCCCTGCAGGCCAATCTGCTGCCTTTCAGCAGCCTCAACAGGCCCAGCTCCTGCCTCCCAATGACCTCTTTATACCAAGTTCATGCCTCACATGGCCATTCTGGCCCAGCTTTTGCCTTTTAGCAGCCTCTCCAGGCCCAGAACTTCCTCAAGTGGGACTCTCCAGGCCCAGCTCTTCCTCCTGGCTGCATCTCCAGGTCCACCTCCTGCCTCACAACAACCTCTTTCCACTCAGCTCCTGCCCAGCTCCTGGCGGCCTTTGTAAGCCCAAAATTTCCTCACATCAAGTTCTCTAGCACAACCTTCTGTCTCCCGGTGGCCTGAACAGGTCCACCTCCTGCATGACAGCAGCCTCTACAGGCTCAGCTCTTGCCTCATGGAGGTCATCTCTGGCCAAGTTCCTGCCTGCCTCCCAGCATCCTCAACAGGCCCAGTTCCTGCCTCACACTGTCTTCAATTAGGCCCAGCTCATGCCTCATGGTGGCCTCTCCAGGCCCAGCTCCTGCCTTTGACAGGCTCTCCAGGCCAAAATCTTCCTCAAGTCGGCCTCTCCAGGCTGATCTCTTGCCTCACACTGGCTTATTTAGGCCCAGCTCTTGCTTCTTGGCAGCCTCTCCAGGCCCAGCTCCTGCATCTTGGTGGCCTCTCCAGGCCCAGCTCCTGCCTTCTGTTGGCCTCTACAGGCCCAACATCGACCTCACAGCAGATTCTTCAGGCCCACTATCTACCTCACCGTGTCCCCCCCAAGCCAAGCTACAGTGTTTCAGCAGCCTCTACAGGCCCAGCTCCTGCCACTCAGTGGCCTCTTTAGGCCAAGCTCATGCACCACAAGGACCTTACCAGGCCCAACTTTTGTCTCATGGCAGCCTTCCCTGGCCAGGTTCCTACCTGTCTCCCAGCAGCCTGGACAGGCCCAGGTCCTACCTCACACTGGCCTCTCTACACCCAGCTCATGCCTCATGGTGGCCTCTCCAGGCCCAGTTCCAGTCCTAGGATGTCATCTCCAGGCCCACAACTTCCTAAATTCAGCCTCTCTAGTCCCAACTACTGCCCCCCTTGGCAGCCTCTGAAGGCCCAAAACTCCTCAAGTTGGCCTCTCCAGGCCCAGTTCCTGCCTTCTATTGGCCTCTACAGGCCCAGCCTCTGCCTCATGGTGGCTTCTCCAGGCCCAGCTCTTCCTCCTGGCTGAGTTTACAGGCACAACTGTTGCCTCACAACAACCTCTTTTGGCCCAGTTCCTGCACAGCCCACGGCGGCTGCCATAGGCCCAAAACTTCCTCATGTCAAACTCTCCAGACCCACCTTCTACTTCCTGGTGGCATGTACAGGCCCAGCTTTGACTTGAGAACAACCTCTGCAGGCCCTGCTCTTGCATCACAGGGGCCTCTCCAGGCACAGCTCTTTCCTCATGGCAGCTGCCCTAGGCCAAGTTTCTGCCTGCCTGGCAGCAGCCTCGACAGGCACAGGTCCTCCCTCACACTGGGCTGTTTAGGCCCAACTCATGCCGGTCATTGCCTATCCAGGTCCAGTTCCTGCCTCCTGGCATACTCTCAGAGCTGCAAACTTACTCAAATCAGCAGTTTCAGGCCCAGCTCCTGCCTACTGTTGGCCTCTACAGGCCCAGCCTCTACCTCACAGTGGAACCTCCAAACCCAGCTCATGTCTCACTGTAGCATCCTCAGGCCAAGCAGCTGCCTTTCAGCAACCTCTACAGACCCAGCTCCTGCCTCAAAATGGCCTCTTTAGGCCAAGCTCATGCCCCAGGGTGACTTTTCCAGGCACAGATTTTACCTTTTGCAGCCTCTCCAGGCCTAGAATGTCCTCAATTCAGCATCTCCAGGATGAGCTCATCCTCCCGGCTGTGTCTACGGGCCCATTTCCTGCCTCACAACAACCTCCTTTGGCCCAACTCCTGCCGAGTTGCTGGCAGCCTGTTTAGGCCACAGAATTCTTAAAGTCAGGCTTTCCAGGCCCACCTTCAGCCTCCCGGCAGCCTCTACAGGTCCAGCTATTCGCTCACGGTGGCCTCCAAAAGCCGAGTTTCTGTCTGCCTCATGGCATCCTCCAAAAAGAGCCTTTGCCTCACGGTGACCTCCCCAGGCCACAAATCGGCCTGCCTCCCAGCAGTCTCGACAAGTCCAGGTGCTGCCTCACAATGGCTCCTATAGGCCCAGCTCATGCCAAGAGGAGGAATCTCCAGGCACAGCTCTTGCTTCCTGGCAGCCTCTGTAGGCCCAAATTGTTCAAAAGACGGCTCCTCCCAGCCCAACTCTTGCCTCACATCGGCCTACACAGGCCCACACTCTACCTCACAGTAGACCCTCAAGGCCCACAACTTGCCTCATCATGGCCTCCTCATGCCAAACTCCTGCCTTTCAGCAGCCTTTACAGGCCCAGCTCCTCCCTCTCAATGTCCTTTATAGGCAAGGCTCGGGCCTCCTGGTGGTCTTTTCTCGCCAAGATTTTGCTTTTTGACATCCACTCCAGGCCCAAAACTTCCTCCAGTCAGCATGTCCAGGCCAAGCTCTTCCTCCCAACGGTGTCTGCAGCCCAAAATTGTCCAGAAATCAGCCTCTACAGGCTCATCTCCTGCATCGCAGTGGACTCTGTAGACCAAACTCATGCCTCTCGACACCCTTTCCAAGCTTAGCGTTTGCTTCTTTGCATCCTCTACAGGCCCTGAACTTCCTCTAGTTGGCCTCTCCCGGCCCAGCTCTTCCTCCCAGCGGACTCTGCAGGCCAAAATAGTCCTCATCTCGGCCTCTCGAGGGCCAGCCTCCTGTCTCCTCATGGCTGCTGCAGGCCCAAATTGTCCTGAAGTCTGCCTCTCCAGGCCCAGCTCTTGCCTCTCAATGAACTCTCCAGGTGCAAAACTTCCTCAAATCAGCCTCTACAGGACAAGTTCCTGTCACCCGATGGCCTTGTTAGGCCCAGCACACTCCTCACAATGGCCTTTCCAGGCACAGTTTGTTCCTTTTGGTGGCCTCTCCAGGCCCAGAACCACCTCAAGTCGGCCTCCCCAGACCCAGCTGCAGCCTCCCGGTGGACTCTGCAGGCCCAAGTTGTCCTCAAGTTGTCCTCCCCTGTCCCAGCTCTTGCCTCTCAGTGGCCTCTCCAGGTGCACAACTTCCTCCAGTCAGCCGCTCCAGACCCAGCTCCTCCTGCCTCCCAATCGCCTCTTTAGGCCCAGCCCAGCTCATGCCTCTCGGCAGCCTTCCCAGGCCCTGCTTTTGACTTTTGGTGGCCTCTTCAGGCCCAGAACTTGACCTCCAGTCGGCATCTCCAGGCCCAGCCTCCTGCCTCCCGAGGGCCTGTATACAGGCCCAGCTCTTGGCCTCACTGCGGCCACCCCAGTCCAAAGCTCCTGCCTTCTGGCACCTTTGACAGGCCCAGCTCCTGCCTCCTGATGGCCTCTTTAGGCCCAGCTCACTCCTCTCAATGGCCTTTCCAGGCCCAGTTTGTCCACTTTGGCAGCATCTCCAGGCCCAGAACCTCCTCAAGTCTGCCTCTCCAGACCCAGCTGCAGCCTCCCGGCATCCTCTCTAGGCCCAGCTCTTCCTCCCGGCTGTGTCTACAGGCCTGGCTCCTGCCTCACAGCAACCTCTTTGGACTCAGCTCCTGCCCAGCTCCTGGCAGCCTTTGTAGGCCCAAAACTTCCCCAAACCAAGCTCTCCAGGCCCAGCTCAGGCCTCACAGTGGCCTCTCCAGGCTCAGCTCCTGCCCTCCGATGGTGTCTTCGAGCCCCCAAACTTCCTCCAGTCAGCTTCTCTAGGTCCAGCTTGGGCCTCCCGGCAGCCTCTGTAGGCCCAAATCATCCTGAAGTCAGCCTCTCTAGGCCCATCTCTGGCCTCCCGGCAGCCTCTCCAGGCACAACACATCCTCAAGTGGGCCCCTTCAGGGCCAGCTCCTGCCTCCCATTGGCCTCTAGAGGCCCAGCCTCTGCCTCCCTCCTGGCAACCTCTCCAGGCCCAGCTCTTCCTCTTCCTCCTGGCTGAGTCAACAGGCCCAACTCCTGCCTCACAACAAACAACCTCTTTGGGCTCAGCTCCTGCCCAGCTCCCACCAGCCTTTGTAGGCCCAAACCTTTCTCCAGCCAAAATTCTGTAGGCCCACTTTCTGCCTCCCTGTGGCCTTCACAGACCCAGCTCTGACTGGAGTGCAACCTCTGCAGGCCCCGCTCTTGCCTCCCAGGGGCCTCTCCAGGCCCAGCTCTTTCCTCATGGCAGCTTCCTGGGACCAAGTTCCTGCCTGCCTCCCAGCAGACTCAACAGGCCCAGCTCCTCCCTCACAGCGGCCTGTTTCAGCCCAACTCATACCTCTTGCAACCCACCCAGAGGTGTGAGCTCCTGCCTCACACTGGCCTCTCTGGGCTGAGGTCTTCCCCCACACTGGCCTGTTGAGGCCCAGCTCATGCCTCTCGTGGCCTCTCCAGGCCCAGCCCCTGCCTGTTGGCGCCCTCTCCAGGCCCAGCCTCCACCTTGCAGTAGGCCCTCCAGGCCCACCTCTTGCCTCGCTGTGGCATCCTCGGGCCAAGCTCCTGCCCTTCCACAGCCTCTGAAGGCCCAGCTCCTGCCTCCCAGTGGCCTCCGTAGGTCAAGCTCATGTCTCAATGGTGGCCTTTCCAGGCCTAGCATTTGCTCCTTTGCATCCTTTCCAGTTCCTGAACTTACTCCAGTTGGCCTCTCCAGGCCCAGCTCTTCCTCCTGGTGGCCTCTGCAGGCCCAATTTGCCCTCAAGTCAGCCTCTCCAGGGCCAGCTCCTGCCTCCCGGTGGCCTCTGCAGGCCCAAATCGTCCTCAAGTCGGCCTCCCCCAGCCCAGCTCTTGCCTCTCAGCAGCCTCTCCAGGTGCACAACTTCCTCTAGTCAGCCTCTCCAGGCCCAGCTCCTCCTGCCTCCCAATCGCCTCTTTAGGCCCAGCCCAGTTCATGCCTCTCTGTGGCCTTCCCAGGACCCACTTTTGACTTGTGGTAGCCTCTTCAGGCCCAGAACTTGACCTCCAGTCGGCCTCTCCAGGCCTAGCCTCCTGCCTCCCAAGGGCCCTTATACAGGCCCAGCCTCTGCCTCACAGCAGACTCTCCATGCCCAGCTCTTGGCCTCACTGTGGCCACACCAGTCCAAAGCTCCTGCCTTCTGGCACCTTCGACAGGCCCAGCTCCTGCCTCCCGATGGCCTCTTTAGGCCCAGCTCACTCCTCACAGTGGTCTTTCCAGGCCCAGTTTGTCCCCTTTGGCGGCCTCTTCAGGCCCAGAACCTCCTCAAGTTGGCCTCTCCAGGACCAGCTACAGCCTCCTGGCATCCTCTCCAGGCCCAGCTCTTCTTCCCAGCTGCGTCGACAGGCCCAACTCCTGCCTCAGAGCAACCTCTTTGGACTCAGCTCCTGCCCAGCTCCTGGTGGCCTTTATAGGCCCAAAACTTCTTCAAGTGAAGCTCTCTGGGTCCAGCTCAAGCCACATGGTGGCCTCTCCAGGCTCAACTCCTGCCCTCTGATGGTGTCTCTGGGCCCCCATACTTCCTCTAGTCAGCTCCTCTAGGCCCAGCTTGGGCATCCTGGCATCCTCTGCAGGCCCAAATCGTCCTGAAGTCTGCCTCTCCAGGCCCAGCTCCGGCCTCCCGGCAACCTCTCCAGGTGCAATGCATCCTCAAGTGGGCCCCTTCAGGGCCAGCTCCTGCCTCCCATTGGCCTCTAGAGGCCCAGCCTCTGCCTCCCTCCTGGCGGCCTCTCCAGGCCCAGCTCTTCCTCTTCCTTCTGGCTTCATCGACAGGCCCAACTCCTGCCTCACAACAAACAACCTCTTTGGGCTCAGCTCCTGCCCAGCTCCTGCCAGCCTTTGTGGGCCCTCCATGCCCACCTTTTGCCTCGTAGGCCCAAATCTTCCTCAAGTCTCCAGTCTCGGCTCCAGCCTTTTGTGGGTCTCTTGTCACAAAACTTCCTCATGTCGGCCTCTCTACGTTTAGCTTTTGCCTCCCGTTGACCTTTTTAGGACCAAAGCTTCCTCAAGCCGGCCTCTCCAAGCCCAGCTCCTGCCTCCCGTCTGCCTCTACAGGTGAAAAACTTTCTCCATCAGCTTCTCCAGGCCCAGCTCCTGTCTTTGAGTGTTTTTTTTTTAGACCCAAGCCACCTCATGCTTTTACCTTTCAAATGCCTGTAGTGGCCCAGCCTCTGCCTAACAGCGCACTCTCCATGCCCAGCTCTTGCCTCACTGTGGCCTTCCCAATCCAAAACTCCTGCCTTTCAGCAGCTTCGACAGCCCCAGCTGCTGCCTTCAAATGAGCTCTTCAGTCCCACCTCATTACTCTCAATGGTCTTTCCAGGCCGAGTTTTTTCCTTTTGGCCACCTCTGTGGACCCAGGATTTTCTCAAGTCTGCCTCTCCAGTCCCAGTTGCTGCCTCCCAGTGTCCTCTTCTGGCCCATCTGTTCTTCCCAGGTGCATCTACCAGTTCAGCTTTTGCCTCACAACAACCTCTTTGGACTCCGCTCCTGTCCAGCTCCTGGCAGCCTTTGTAGACCCAAAACTTTCTCAAGTCCAGCCCTCCAGTTTCACTGCCTTCCTTGTGGCAGCCTGAACAGGCCCAGCTTTTGCCTGACAATGGCTTCTTAAGGCTGCCTCAATAGACCCAGCTTCTGCCTCACACTGGCCTCTCTAGGCCCAGCTACTGCCTCTCACTATCCTCACCTGGCCCATCTCTTTCCTCACGTCTGCCTCCCAAGTCCCAGCTCCTGTCTCACTGTGGTCTCAGTTATACCAGCTCCTGTCTCACGATGGCCTCTTCTGGCCCATCTTTGGCCTCATAGTGGCCACTCGAATCCATCTTCTGCCTCCTAGTGTCCTCTTCTGGCTTTGCTCTTGCCTCACAGTCACCTCTTCTGGATCCAGCTTTTTAGTCTTTGATGGTCAACAGCATCAAGGAGCCTAAAGCTTCCCTGGACTCTTATTTGTTGGTAACTTCAGAGCAGATTGCCTTAGCAAAACACCTGTCTCTTCTTTTAATCTTGACAGTGGATTTCTGACAAACTTATAATAAATTCTGCCTGTGTGCTTTCATAGTGATTTTTGTTTTATTTAGTGTCTCATCTTTTTTTGTCTTCTTTGGGTGGCAATGGGAATGAGCCTTTGCTTGGGCCCTTTTTCTTCACTCTGGACATGGCAGCTTCTCACTTCATGTCTTCTATATTTATATTTTTTACAGTTATCTTTTTTGTTTTGTTAGGGTCTTGCTCTGTCACCCAGGCTAGAGTGTAGTCGTGTGATCATGGCTTACTGCAGCCTTGGGCTTTTGGCCTGAAGTGATTCTCCCAACCCAGCATCTTGAGTAGCTGATACTACAGGCACAAGCCACCATGCCTGGCTAATTTCTGATTTTTTTCTGAGAGGTTGGTTCTCACTATATTGCCCAGGCTGTTCCAAGACTTTTGGACAAAAGTAATCCTTTTGCCTGAGCCTCCCAAATTGCTGCGATTACAAGCATGAGCCACTGTGCCTGGCCTGCTATTTGCCTGTCATGAACTATTAAGAATTTATTTTTTGATTAATATAGTATTTCTGTATAGATTTATGTATATATAGATATTTTAAATTTTTCATGGATACCAATTTTTTCCCTTTTTTTGAGGCAAGGTACCACTTTTTCAGGATGGAGTGTGGTGTTATTATCCCAGCTCACTGCAACCTCTTCTTTCTTGGCTTAAGTGATCCTCCCACCTCAGCCTGCTGAGTAGCTGGGACCCCAGGTATGAGCCACCATGCCCAGGTAATTTTTATATTTCTTGTAGAGAGGGGGTCTCACCATGTTTCCCAGGCTGGTTTCAAACTCCTGGGCTCAAGCCATCCTCCCCCCTCAGCCTCTTGCAGTGCTGGGATTACAGGTGGGAGGCACGATATCTGGCCTACCATTTTCTTTTCATGGATTATTAAGAATTTCCTTTATGCCAGCACCGTGGCTCATGCCTGTAATCCCAGCACTTTAGGAGGATGAGGTGGGTGGATTACATAGTCAGGAGTTCAAGACCAGCCTGGTCAATATGATGAAACCCCGTCTTTACTAAAAATACAAAAATTAGCCAGGTGTGGTGGCAGGCATCTGTAATCCCAGATACTCCGGAGGGTGATGCGGGAGAATTGCTTGAACCTGGGAGGCGGAGGTGGCAGTGAGCTGAGATCATGCCACTGCACTCCAGCCTGGGTGACAGATTGAGACTCCATCTTAAAAAGAAAAAAAAAGAATTTACTTTTTTATTAGTATAGTGTAAATATATAAATATGTGTATACATTCATATGTGAATATATGTGTGTATGTATTTTCATAGCACACACACACATACATTGTGAAAGAGATATTTGAATACCTAGACATTGATAAGCTTCTTCCAGGTTTCAAAACCACCCTTAGCACAAACACAAAAGTACAAACTGTCATTATTAATGACCATGGACCAAGATGACCATGAGTCAATAGTACTTTGCACCTCAACCACCTTCCAGCAGAGCATCTCAAAGGGCTGGATATATCTGAACACCACACCCTTTCACATAGACTTTGATGGTTTGTAATTATTACTTCTTTTAAGACCTCAGTGTGATCCTTGTCAGGGTGAAATCAAACTATTTCTCAAATCGTAGATACTGAATAACAGCTTTGGTCAGGAAATAGGTATTACATTTGGTTTGTCATGACAAGCTCCTGGCCTAGGCAGATGGAATATAGCAGAAATCTGTGTGTGTGTGAACATTCTTGTGCACCGATGTTGGGGTGGAAGTGGGGGGCTGTTGAATTTGATAAAACCAGCAGGGGGCAGGCTGCTGGGAAGAGGGAACTTATTTTGGCAGCTGCTGTGTAACTCTAGAATTAACAAATGCTTGTAATCCACAGTTTCATCTCCTGGAAAATAAAGATTATAATTCCTGCCTTGATATGTGGGCTAGGTGATCCGCTCTATGCAAAATATCTAGTATATAATAGGTGCTGAATTAATACTACTTTCTGTGCCTCATTCTTAATTACTGCTTAATTTTAAAAAGTTTAGAATGGCTACTGCTTTTGTAAAAATTATTTGTAATTATTATATAAAATCTAAGTCCTATAAAATTATACAGCATGCTGGGTGCTATAGCTCACACCTGTAATCCCAGCACTTTGGGAAGGCAGGGTAGAAAGATTGCTGAAGGCCAGGAGTATGAGACCAGCATGAGGAATATAGCAAGATTTCATCTCCATAAAAACTTAAAAACCAGTTATGGTAATGTGCACCCTTAGTCCCAGCTACTCGGGAGGCTGAGGCAGGTGGATCACGGAACCCAGGAGTTTGAGACTGCAGCCTGGGTAACAGAGTGAGATCCTGTCAGAGAGAGGGAGTGGGAGAGAGGGAGAGAAACAAGTACAAACAAGCAAGTAATAAATAATAATGGAATTTTCAACCACCAAGAAATAACTCAACATTATGTGGTATGTCCAGGCCTCATAGCTCATGCCTGGCTGAGACACGAGAATCGCTTGAGCCTTGGAGACAGAGGTTTCAGTGAGCCAAGATTACACAATTCCAACTCCAGCCTGGGCAACAGAAAGAGATTCTGTCTCGAAAAAAAAAAAAAAAAGGTGATAATTCATACCTCTTTTTGTGCAAATAGGTAGTTAGGTAAGTAGATGTATTAATGGATTAAAAATAACTTTGCCTGGTGCTGTGGCTCACATCTGTAATCCCAGCACTTTCAGAGGCCGAGGCAGGCAGATCACGAGGTCAGGAGATTGAGACAATCCTGGCCAACATGATGAAAACCTGTCTCTACTAAAAATACAAAAATTAGCTGGGCGTGGTGGCAAGTGCCTGTAATCCCAGCTACTTGGGAGGGTGAGGCAGGAGAATCGCTTGAACCTGGGAGGTGTAGGTTGCAGTGAGCTGAGATCGTGCCACTGCACTGCAGCCTGGCAACCAAGCGACACTGTCTCAAAAAAATAGATAACTTTATGTGTTTTATATGTGTTTTAGTTTAAACATATATAATTTTCATTTTGCTTGATACAACAGAAGCTGAAGAAACTAAAGTAAGGTGGGACAATTTCTGAACTTCAGATATGTGAAAGTTATATCTTTTTATTCAACATTCATTAAAATTATGAAAAGAGATAATAAAAGTATCATGATTCTTTTTAACCTGCAGTTTCTATTTTCACCCACAGCAGCTGTATTTTTGGAACTGATTCATGTTTGAGAGTTTCTGTTTAATGCATTTATACTTGGATAACTATTCTTTTTTTTTTTTTTTTTTTTTTTTTTTTTTTTTTTTTGAGACAGAGTCTTGCTCTGTCACCCAGGCTGGAGTGCAGTGGTGCAATCTCAGCTCACTGCAACTTCCACCTCCCAAGTTCAAGCAATTCTCCCACCTCAGCCTCCTGAGTACCTTGGATTATAGGTGTACGCTACCATGCCCAGCTAATTTTTGTATTTTTAGTAGAGACGGGGTTTCACCATCTTGGCCAGGCTGGTCTCAAACTCCTGACTTCAGGTGATCCACCCACCTCAGCCCCCCAAAGTGCTGGGATTACAGGCGTGAACCACCGCACCTGGCCTGGGAGAATATTCTTGATTCATTTTCCTTTTCTTCAGTTCTTCCTTTAAGTTCTGGCTTTATTGTCATCTAGCTCTGGCTGGGGTTATGGAAGGCTCTGAGGCTGGCTGGAGGTTATTCTCACACGCACTTACGTTTTCCTGCCCAAAGGCCATGGGAATACTTTGTTTATCATTGAAATTCAATAGCTTAGCCAGGGTTGGATGGAGGCCAGCGATTCCGTATTAGTTTTTCCAGGTATATGATGTGCCCTTAGACTACTGACTATGTACTTCTCTATCGCTCCATGCAATCTTCTCTTTCTTTTCCCTTTTCTTTTCTTTTCTTTCTTTTTTCTTTCTTTCTCTTTCTCTTTCTTTCTCTCTCTTCTTTCTTTCTTTTTCCTTCTTTCCTTCCTTCATTCCTTCCTTCTTGTCTTTCTTTCATTTTTTTCTCTCTCTCAATAGGAAAAAAAGTCTAATAATCTGATTTTAACATGGGCAAAAGATCAGAATACACATTTCTCGAAAGAAGACATAAATGATAAATGGGTATATGAAAATGTGCTCAACATCATTGATCATCAAAGAAACAGAAATCAAAACTACAATGAGCTATCATCCCACCCCAGTTAAAATGGCTTATATCCAAAAGACAGGCAATAACAAATGCTATTCAGGATGTGGAGAAAAGGGAACCCTGGTACACTGTTGGTGGGAATGTAAATTAGTACAACCACTATGAAGAACGGTTTGGAGGGTCCTCAAAAAGCTAAAAATAGAGCTAATTCATAATCCAGTAATCCTACTGCTAAGTGTATACCCCAAAGAAAGAAAATCAGTATATCGAAGAAATATCTGCATTTCTATATTTATTGCAACACTATTAACAATAGCCAAGATTTGGAAGCAATCTAAGTGTCCATCAACAGGTGAATAAATAGAGAAAATGTGGTACATATACACAATGGAATATTATTCAGCCATGAGAAAGAATAGAATCCTGTTATTTGCAACAACATGGGTAGAACTGGAGATCACTATGTTAACTAAAATAAGCCAGACACAGAAAGGCAAATTTTGCATGTTCCCAGGCATTTGTGGGTGCTAAAAAAACAATTGAACTCATGAAGATAGAGAGTAGAATGATAGTTACCAGAGGCTGGGAACTGCAGTGGGCTGGAGGGGGTGCACAGGAATGATTAATGCGTACAAAAATACAGTTAGAACGAATACAATGTAGTATTTGGTAGTACAACAGGGTGACTGTAGTAAACAATAATTTATATTTAAAAATAGCTAAAAGAGGCCAGATGTGGTGGCTTATGTTTGTAATCCCTGCACTTTGGGAGGCTGAGGCAGGTGGATCACCTGAGGTCAGGAGTTCGAGACCAGCCTGACAAACATGGCAAAACCCTGTCTCTACTAAAAATACAAAAATTGGCCAGGTGTGGTGGCACACACCTGTAATCCCAGCTACTCAAGAGGCTGAGGCAGGAGAATTGCTTGAACCTGGGGGAGGGGGGTGGAGGTTGCAGTGAGCCAAGATCACACTACTGCACTCTGACTCAGGCGACAGAGCTAGACTCCATCTCAAAAAAAAAAAAAAAAAAAAAAGGCGATAAGAGCACAATTGGATTGTTTGTAAAACAAAGAAAGGACAAATGCTTAAGGTGATGGGTATCCCATTAACCCTCATGTGATTATTACACATTATATGCCTGTACCAAAACATCTCATGCACCCCATAAATATATACACCTACTATGTACCCACAAAAATTAAAAGTGAAGCATTTTCTAAACTCCCTATCTTTGCCAGATATGGTGGCACACACCTGTAATTCCAGTGTTTTTTGAGGCCAGGATGGGAGGATCACTTGAGTCTGGGAGTTTGAGCCCCACATAGGCAACATAGGAAGACTCCTCTCTCTAATAATAAAAAACTTAGCCAGGCATGGTGGGGCTCATTCCTATAGTCCCAGCTACTTGGGAGGCTGAGATGGCAGGATCCCTTGAACCCAGGAGGTTGAGACTGCAGTGAGCTATGATTGCCCCACTGCACTCCAGCCTGGGTGGCAGAGTGAGACCATGTCTCTTAAAAAAAAAAACCAGTCCTAGCATGATCTGACCCTGCCTGCCACCCTCTGTTCTTTTCCTCTTGCTCATTGTGCATCAGGCATCTGGGCTTCTTTTCTGCTCCTGTAAATGCCAAGTGCTTTCCCTCTTCAGGACTTTTGCACATGCTCTCCCCTGCCCTAAATGGACTTCCCATACCTCCTGCCATAGCTGGATTTTTCTCATGTTTCAGACCACAGCTCACACATCACCTCTGCAGAGAAATCCTCCCTCATCCTGTGGAGGGGGAATCATCCTCCTTTTTCATTGCCTCAACCTGCCTGGTTCTCTCAAAGCAGATATCACTCTCAAAACTCAGCTTGCTATTTACTGAATTGCTTGTCTGCATGTCCTCCTCTCAAACTCATGCCGAATCAGAACAGTGGCTCCCTATTGCAGGAGTCCCATCTTATTCATTCTCAGAACCTAATATAGTACTTGGCACATAGTAGGCACAAAATAAATGTCATTAGAATGAATAAGTATCAAGGGGCCGGGTGCAGTGGCTCAAGCCTGTCATCCCAGCACTTTGGGAGGCTGAGGCAAGTGTTTCACCTCGGGTTAGGAGATCAAGACAAGCCTGGCCAACATGGTGAAACCTCATACCTGCTAAAAATACAAAAATTAGCTGGACATGGTGGTGCACACCTGTAATCCCAGTTACACGGGAGGCTGAGGGAGGAGAACTAGTTGAATCTGGGAGGCAGAAGTTGCAGTGAGCCAAGATTGTGCCCTTACACTCCAGCCTGGGTGACAGAGTGAGACTCCATCTAAAAATTTAAATAAATAAAAATAACAAAAAAGAATGAATACGTATCAAGGAAGGGAGATTTTGTGATTTGCCACCTTTACATGAAAATCCTGCTTAACATTGACATTTTCGCTCTCCCTCTCCCTCTCCCTCTTCCTCTCCCTCTCCTTCTCCCTCTCCCTCTCCCTCTCCTCACGGTCTCCCTCTCCCTCTCTTTCCATGGTCTCCCTCTGATGCCAAGCCGAAGCTGGACTGTACTGCTGCCATCTCTGCTCACTGCAACCCCCCTGCCTGATTCTCCTGCCTCAGCCTGCAGAGTGCCTGCGATTGCAGGCGCGCACCGCCACGCCTGACTGGTTTTCATATTTTTTTGGTGGAGACGGGGTTTCGCTGTGTTGGCCGGGCTGGTCTCCAGCTCCTAACCGGGAGTGATCTGCCAGCCTCGGCCTCCCAAGGTGCCGGGAATGCAGATGGAGTCTCGTTCACTCAGTGCTCAATGTTGCCCAGGCTGGAGTGCAGTGGCATGATCTCGGCTCGCTACAACCTCCACCTCCCAGCCACCTGCCTTGGCCTCCCAAAGTGCCGAGATTGCAGCCTCTGCCCGGCCGCCACCCCGTCTAGGAAGTGAGGAGCGTCTCTGCCCAGCCGCCCATCATCTGAGATGTGGGGAGCGCCTCTGACCCGCCGCCCCGTCTGGGATGTGAGGAGCCCCTCTGCCCGGCTGCCCAGTCTAGGAAGTGAGGAGTGCCTCTTCCCGGCCGCCATCCCATCTAGGAAGTGAGGAGCATCTCTGCCCGGCCGCCCATCGTCTGAGATGTGGGGAGTGCCTCTGCCCCGCCACCCCGTCTGGGATGTGAGGAGCACCTCTGCCCGGCCACGACCCCATCTGGGAGGTGTACCCAACAGCTCATTGAGAATGGGCCATGATGATGATGGCAGTTGTGTCGAATAGAAAAGGGGGAAATGTAGGGAAAAGACAGAGAAATCAGATTGTTGCTGTGTCTGTGTAGAAAGAAGTAGACATAGGAGACTCCATTTTGTTCTGTACTAAGAAAAACTCTTCCGCCTTGGGATGCTGTTGATCTATGACCTTACCCGCAACCCAGTGCTCTCTGAAACATGTGCTGTGTCCACTCAGGGTTAAATGGATTAAGGGCGGTGCAAGATGTGCTTTGTTAAACAGATGCTTGAAGGCAGCATGCTCGTTAAGGGTCATCACCACTCCCTAATCTCAAGTACCCAGGGACACAAACACTGCAGAAGGCCCCAGGGTCCTCTGTCTAGGAAAACCAGAGACCTTTGTTCACTTGTTTATCTGCTGACCTTCCCTCCACTATTGTCCTATGACCCTGCCAAATCCCCCTCTGCGAGAAACACCCAAGAATGATCAATAAAAAAAAAAAAAAAAAAATTGACATTTTCTATTTGATGGTATTTCTATAATAAGAAATTGAAACTGTGCTAATTAAAAGAGAATGAGGCTAGGCACGGTGATTCATAACTCTAATCCCAGGACTTTGGGAGGCTGAAGGGGAAGGATTATCTTAGGGTAGCATTTTGAGACCAGCCTGGGCAGCATACTGAGACCCCTGTCTCTGCAAAAATAACATTTAAAAAATGAACCAGGTGTGCCAGGTGCAGTGGCTCATGCCTATAATCCCAGCACTTTGGGAGGTGGAGGGGGGAAGATCACCTGAGGTCAGCAATTCAAGACCAGTCTGGCCAACATGGTGAAACCCCATACCTACTAAAAATACAAAAATTAGCCAATGTGGTGGCGAATGCCTGTAGTCCCAGCTACTTGGGAGGCTGAGACAGGAGAATTGCTTGAACCTAGGAGGCAGAGTTTGTAGTGAGTGATTAATGGGTACAAAAATACAGTTAGAATGAATAAGATGTAGTATTTGGTAGCAAAACTGGATGTCTGTAGTAAACAATAATTTATATTTAAAATTTTTATTAAAAATAGCTAAAAGAGTCCAGACATGGTGGCTTATGTTTGTAATCCCAGCACTTTGGGAGGCTGAGCTGAGATCAGGCCATTACATTCCAACCTGGACAGCAAGAGTAAAACTCCATTAGATGTGGTGGCATGGGCCTGTAGTCCCACCTCCTCAGGAGGCTGAGGGGGCAGAATCACTTGAGCCCAGGAGACAGAGGCTGCAGTGAGCCATGGTTGCACCACTGCACTGCAGGCTGAGGGACAAAGCTAGACCTTATAGCTAAAAACAAAACAAAACACAAAAACAGGGTGTGGTGGCTCATGCCTGTAATTCCAGGACTTTGGGAGGCTGAGGTGGGTGGATCACATGAGGTCAGGAGTTCAAGTCCAGTCTGGCCAACATGGTGAAACATTGTCTCTACTACAAAATACAAAAATTAGCCAGGCATGGTGGCAGTCGCCTGTAATCCCAGCTAATCAGGAGGCTGAGGCGTGAGAATTGCTTGAACCCAGGAGGCAGAGGTTGCAGTGAGCAGAGATCATGCCACTGCACTCCAGCCTGGGTGACAGAGCAAGACTCCGTCTCAAAGAAAAAACAAAACAAAACAAAAACACTAAAAAGAACATTCCAGCTGCTTGTCAAGAGATTGGACATGGAGGGGCAATAGTGGGAGCAAGACATCTGGTGAGGAGCTGCTACATCAACATCTTTTGATTACTCCAGGCCGTGTTTTGAGTGGCACCTCTGCTAGAATGTGGCCCAGCCTCACATGCCTTAATTCTGAGACTCAGTGCCATGCCGGTAGAGACCCTGTGAGGTCACACTGTGGAGGCTTGTTGGGAAAGTGTTGGCTCTTCAAAATCAACATCTTGGTTCATTCCTTTGATGCTGGAGACAATGACCTGTATCTCCTCATATGTCTGATCAAGTCAGTTAAAAACAGAGTGGAGTGTCTCTTTGTCCAGGAGCTTGGGCTGCTCTGGAGTTTGCACAAACACAAATAATCATCACAGGCTCTCAGGCCATGCATCTTGGTTACGACCCAAGACAGCCCTTCAGCAGTGGACATCTACATAGTAGAATTTCCCAAACACCTCTTTAAAAAAAAAGAGCGAGAGAGAGACAGGGTCTCTCTATATTGCCTAGGCTGGTCTCGAACTCCTGACCTCAAGAGATCCTCCTACCTCAGCCTCCCCAAGTGCTGGGATTACAGGTGTGAGCCACTGTGCCTATACCATCACTTTTTAAATCCATTCTATTATTGATGAACATTTGGCTTGTTACCAATTTTGTGCTGTTACAAATAATGCTTTATTAACACTCTTGATGATGTGTCTTCCAATGTACAAATGCACACTTTTGTTTTGGATTTCTACCTAAGAGTGGAGTCTGAGTCATGGCATATATATACACATATACACATACATATATATACATATATTCAACATTAGTAGATAATATCCAATAGTTTTCCAACATACACTTAAACAACAAATGCACATTTCTACCAGCAGGCATGAGAGATACCACTCCTCTATATTGACAACAAATACTGGGTATTGACAGTCTTTAATTTTAGCCATGTGGAGAGAGCATTGCTGTGGTATTTTATTGTGGTTTTACATATTTTTTTCAGGATAACTAAGAGGTGAACCACCCCCCAACTTTCTTACATGTTTACTTTCCATCTTTTCTGAAGTGCTTGTTTAAGTCTCACATGGTAGTCTGTCTTTATCTTGTTTATCTTATAAGGTAGTTCCTTATATATTCTGTATCAGTCCCGGTTCTGTGAAAAGCAGACACTAGTTTGGAAATACTATGCAGCTACTAAGATAAATATGCAAGAGATTTATTGGGGAAAAACTAGTGAAGGAAGGTGGGAGAAGCTACCAGGAATAATTCAGGTATAACTCCTATGAAGGAGAGAGGGAGGGGAAAAAAAGAAAGGTAGGTTCTAGGTTACAATGTATCTCTAAGTAAATTTTGTCAAGACTGACAGGGAGTCTTTGAGTTAAAGGTGTAGAGTGGAGACTGCAGGTTGGGGAAGGGAATTTTGAAGAAAGTGAGAAAGGTTATACATGGTTCTTGAGAGTTGGGAACATGTGTTGACTAAAGCAATATACTAGGATTGCTGAGCAATATTGATGTGCCTTTTGAAGTTGGTGACACAAATTTATATAAATTAAATCTTCCCTATTTTGTGACTTTCTGAATGCTTTCAGGAAATAGGTCTGGAGAAGGCTTAGAATAAAATTCATCTAGTGTGGGAGAATTGCAGGGTGTATGTGGCAATACAGACAAGGGTATTGGAAATGTAAAAGGTTACAAATGTTTACAAACATAAATTGTTACAAAGATTGTTGCATATATGAATAAGTATTAAACATGTCTATCCCTCTTACTCAGCAATTCTATTGTAAACATGTGGGACTGTATCTGTTGGATTAATTCCTAAAAGCGGGATTGTTGGGCTTAGGCAGGAAGGTAAAGCAATGCTGCCTTTTTGGAGAGAAATTGATCAACATTTATCAATGAAACTGAAAAGTTAATTTGATTAGGTCTTCCTGCCTTGCTTCCTTTTGGTTGTTTGATTTTTTTTATTTTTATTTTTCCTTTTTCCATAAAGCTGAAGGCCGGGATAGCTGAAAAGAGTACAAGAGCTTATAGAAACTTCGTAGAGTTCTAATTTAGTAGATGTTTTCTACTTTGTAGATAACATTCATAGGTCACTGTAGCAATGGTTGTTTCAGTTGTTTTTCAGGAACTTGGGTCAGCTCCTGTCCATTTCAAACCAGTGAGACCACTGACCCTTGAATTGGACCTGCACAGTATTGGAAAGATGTCATTTTGACATCGGAGGCCAAACACCTCCACCTTCAGATTAGGCTAACGTTACAATTTTATGTACATATGTCCTACGAAATGCCCTTAACCCAGACTATGCTTGCTCAGAGCAAACCCATTACTTCATTTTCCCCCACTGCCAGTCACCTTTCTCCATGCTTTAGACCACCTCACTTCCCTAACCCATAAATATCCCTAAGCCTTATCTTTGGGGAGGCAGGTTTGAGAGCTGCTCCTCCTGCCTGCTTGCTTTGCAAATAAATATTTTCTCCTCGGCAAAACCCGAGTTGCAGTGATTGATTTACTGTAGGTGGGCAGAATGGACCTGGATCTGGCCAGTAATATTGGCATTAAAAATATTTATACAATTTACCCACAATTCCATATATTTTATTTTGTAATTATTCTATTTGTTTAGTTTTCCTTCCTGCTTTAGTTGGCAGGTGGCCACTGCCCCTTTTAGAATATAAGCTCCATGCTGCTGGGAGCCAGGTTCATCATATTCACCATGATAGTCCTGGCATTTAGCAAAGTGTTGTCTTTTATTAGCTAGGGGCTGAGTAATAAACACTTACTGAATGGTCAAAACGGTGGAAGTGTAATTCCAATTCAGATTGTTCTGACTGTAGTTCCCTTGATATTTTAGCATGCTACGTAGTATAGGTGTGGATAATGGACAGTGATTCTTCTCTCTTTGCTTTGAAGGGGGGAGACAAAAGAGAGGATGGATGTGAGAGGGCCTAGGACCTATGCCTAGAATGCAAGAGATGCTCAATAAGTGCTGTTGATTTTGTTGTTGTTCAGTCAGTGATTTCCTTATAAACACTGACCTTTCAATATCAGGTTCTGAAATATCCTAGTTTTCTTTCTTCTGGATAATTTGTGAATTCTCCCCAGAGACTAGAAGGACATTTGGTACTTTTAGAAGGAAGAATGTAAGTTATTTCCTTGTGAGACCAAAACTCTATTCATGGGGACTAATTAAATGATGGCATCAATGTTGTTCTCACCTGTGAACAAGGCTCATTCTGACACCACTTCAGCAAGAGATCCTGTGAGGGAGAATTTGTCTCCCTTGGAAAGGCAGAAAGCATACAGTACTAATAATCCATGTGTTCTCATTTCTACCTTATAAACAATAAGCCTTTGCAGTGGAGGGAGAAAGATTTTCTGAGACTGTGCTGATGAATATTCTTAGCAGAATGCAGAGCTAACAAGTCAGCTATCCCTTCTGTGAGGCTTTTCTCCTGAATTTTAGTGGCAGTGCTTTTTGACTTGTCAAAGCCTGAGGGAGTAAAAGTGGAAGGTGGTGGCTGTATTGGGAAGGGGACAGTCTGGGTGATGAGCCACCCAGGTTCCAGCTGTGTCTCTGTCACCTATTACTCATGTGACTTTAGATAAGCTGCATTTCATCTTTCTGAGTCTCAAAGCTGATTCACCAATCACTCATGTGACTTTAGATAAACTGCACTTAGTTTTTCTGAGTCTCAGATCCACCATTTACATGGAGGCCATTGAAAAAAGTTTGAAATGTCATAGGAGTCTTCAGCAAATAAAAGGGAAATAAGATGCTACTCTTGGAGGAAACTGGGTGAAGGGCTCTTGAGATTGACTCTATTAACTATTTTTGCATCTTCTTGTAAGCCTATATTATTTCAAAAGAAAAAGAAAAAGAAAATGAAATATAAACTTTTTCAGATATGCAAAAACCGAAAAAATTCATCACCAGCACACCTGCTCAAGAAATATTCAAAGAAGCGCTTCAGGCAGAGGCAAAAATAATACCTAAACAAAGGAATAAAGTGCACCAGAAATGATAAATATGTGGTTAAATACAAAAAAAAAAAAAAAAAAGGAAACGGATGATGGAACAAATTCCCAGCTACTTGTAAATAAATGACCCCCCTTTGGGTTTTTACCTAGTATGATTCTAAGAGACTTAGCTTAGGTGAGTTTCTGTAATCGATAGCAACTTCCCAGTCTGTGCTTTGCCTCAATGTAAAAAGCAATTTGAATCTCACCAGGAATTTAATAACATGAACTATTGAAATTCAGGATCATACACTTGGAGTTGGCCTTGAAGACATTTTAGGCCTTGAAGACATTTTAAACACTCTTCCAGGTACACCATTCCATGATGTTCAAATTTAAAAAAAAATCTGAAGACCTGTTAGTCTGTTGGTGTCCCCAGATCCAGTCACTGTAAGTTTTCTATAATGTGTTTTTATAATAAAATGCAAGAAAAAGGCAACCCAAATAAAAATGCAGTGGAATAAATTTACTAGAATTCTCATTATTTTCCACAAAATAATTTTATTTCTCATGGATAATTCAAACAGGAAACTTTCTTTCTTTATTAGTTTTTAACAAATATTTTATTTGACACTCCCACAAATTTAAATCACAGAGGTGAATCAGCTTATTATTTTTATTTCTGGGCATATAAATCCATTATTTGGCTACATTGTATACTACTCACACTAATTACATTTTCTCTACTCTTGTGTTCTGCATAAGGATCAGCATTAGAGCATTTTTCATATTTATAATTATACCCATATTATACTGTACCCATATTAATAGCCATATGAAAAATTTACTGCCTGGGATATTGAAGATGGTGTTAGAGACTCCATGTATTGAATGTTTATCTGTACAAACGCTTGATATAAATTGATTTTTATGCCTCTCTGCAGCCTCAGAGTGTTGCTGTACTCTTATCTTCATTTTACAGATAAGAACATTGAGTCTTGAGAAGTTGTTCATAGTAACACAGCCAATAAAATGGCAGAGGAGGGATTCAAACCCAGATGTGTTTAAGTGACAGTATGGTACCGTGAAACCCACAAGCTGGGGCAAGACTGCCTGGGTACCAGCCCCAGTTATGCCACTTATTAGTTATGCATTTCTTACTTTCTTCCTCTGAAAAATGAGGATAAAACCAGTAATCTACTTCATGGGAATGATGTGAAGATTAAACAAGCTGACCTACATAAGTGTTTGGTTAGTGCTTGGCAAAGGCTAAATTCTATGTAGGTGTTTCCTCTCATCACTGTTGTCTGTGTTTTTGGCCATAATGTTCTACCTTCAAAAAGTCCCCATCAGACTTGTCACTTGCAGGAGCTATATTTACCTTCTTGCAATGAAGTGTGGAGAGAGAAAAAGGTAGCAGTTTCATGATCGGTACAAGAGTTTTCTCTCCAGTGTTTCTATATATCTGGGTACCTCTTTCTTCTTCTGACACTTGATGTTTCTCCTTTAATTCTTGTCATGCTGAGCATTAAATCTGCAGCAAGTTGGAGGATTCAGCTACTTTAAGAAGACCTATGTTTCCAGGAAAAGGATAGGGTGGTGGAGAGGGTTAGTGACAGTTTCAAAATTTAAGATAGGCACAGGTATTACCAGAGGGCCAGGGGTTCTGTCTAGGTCCTGCTGTTGGCCACACAGAAAGCCAATTACTGAGACAATGAGTATTCCCCGGGGAAAAAGGCTTCAATTGGGTGTTGTAGCTGGAAGGTAGATTAGTCTCAAATCAATCTCCTCAATCAACTGAAATTAGGGGTTTATATAGCAGGGAGGAAACATAACTGTTAAAACAGGAGTTAGAGACAGGTAAGGAAGAGGAATTGGACAATAAGAAGTAGGTGGTCGGTTAGGAAAACAGGGAAGGCTAAGCAAATAATTATGATGAATATAGGGTCTGATAACTTATTTCCTGAATGCAGTGATTTGGTGAGTTTTAGTTTTTTGATAGTTTTTGGGATGTCCAAGGGTGAATGTTTTGAGGAGGGAATTCAGATAAGACAAATGTAAATTTTAAGTTTTAAGACCAGAAGGGCAATTTTTAAGTCTCTCCAAAAAACCCCAAAACTATCTATTGGACTATTAGGTCTATTTCACAGGCATTTCCTTAATATCGTCAGGGGAAAAAAGGGTGAGTAGGAATATTCTGTCATATAAAGTTATAATTGATAGCTGGTTAAGACAGGACACCTGTTCCTCTGCCCTTGTAGCTTCCCTTATGCAGTTATAGGCAGATAATCATCTACTAGTACCTTTCACTGATACTCCCCATTTTTTTTAATTCTGTTTTTTACTTTGAGTCCTCCCTGTAGATTGCAGGGGGACTAGTAGTCCTTAACTAGAAGGATTACACCAAGGTCAGAGAAAGCAAAACTCAGAAGGATGTAAAAATGTATAAAACAAGGGGGAGGAGAAAGCTAAGTTGTCTTCCTAGGCATGATGCTGTTCACAGTATGCAGATGCAATAAATGAGAAAGTAGAGAAATAGAGAATTTGGTAAGTCTCTAGCTGCAACCAAGTCAGTTTCTTCCAATCCTGCTTTAGTTTGTTTTATATCAATTGTATTACCATTGGAAAAACCGACAAAAAGTGTAACCAACTTCATTGCAAACTCCAAGAAGAAAGCTTTAATTTGAAGTATGGACTATACACACAGAGATTTCAAGAGATTTCAAGAGGTCCTAACTCTACATGGTATTCTCAAGTGCAATCTAATCTATGCTGAAAGTGATCAGAGATTTACTCCAGTTTGAAATGGAAAATAAATGTCTGTTAAATGTTCAATCCCAGCAGCCACAAAAATGCAAATTTAGATAATTAAGTTATTATTTTCATCTAATAACTGAGATATGTGGTGCCCAGTGATGCTAAAGTTAACAGACATTTTGTGGTCAGAAGATTAAATTTGTATAAGAGTTTCGGAACAGAAGAGGGTTAAGAGGGACAAAGGGTATATTAAAGGAAAACTTGCAATGTTTTTCCCCATGCAATTAGTTCTATTACTCATGTTTCTCTTTGTCTTTATACGCAATTCTGCATCTGAATTCTCAGTGACCTTGGAATCTATGGAAATACCACACAATATCACAGAATTTGTCATGCTGGGACTCTCACAGAACTCAGAGGTACAGAGAGTTCTCTTTGTGGTCTTTTATGTGGTCACAGTTTGTGGCAACATGCTCATTGTGGTCACTATCACCTCCAGCCCCACCCTGGCTTCCCCTGTGTATTTTTTCCTGGCCAACCTATCCTTTATTGACACCTTTTATTCTTTTTCTATGGCTCCTAAACTCATTGCTGACTCCTTGTATGAGGGGAGAACCATTTCTTATGAGTGCTGCATGGCTCAGCTCTTTGGAGCTCATTTTTTGGGAGGTGTTGAGATCATTCTGCTCACACTGATGGCCTATGACCACTATGTGGCCATCTGTAAGCCCCTGCACTGTACTACCATCATGACCAGGCATCTCTGTGCCATGCTGGTAGGGGTGGCTTGACTTGGGGGTTTCCTGCATTCATTGGTTCAGCTCCTCCTGGTCCTTTGGTTGCTCTTCTGTGGGCCCAATGTGATCAATCACTTTGTCTGTGACTTGTACCCTTTGCTGGGAGTTGGCTGCACCAACATGCATGTCATTGGTCTGCTGGTGGTTGCCAACAGTGGTTTAATCTGCCTGTTGAACTTCCTCATGCTGGCTGCCTCCTACATTGTCATCCTGTACTCCTTGAGGTCCCACAGTGCAGATGGGAGACGCAAAGCCCTCTCCACCTGTGGAGCCCACTTCATTGTTTTTGCCTTGTTCTTTGTGCCCTGTATATTTACTTATATGCTTCCATTTTCTATTTTATCTATAGACAAAAATATGGCATTATTTTACGGTATTCTGACACCTATGTTGAATCCGCTCATTTATACCCTGAGAAATGAAGAGGTAAAAAATGCCATGAGAAAGCTCTTTACATGGTAAGAAATTGCAAGTGGATAATGAGTGGTAAAGCAGGAAATAAAAATGACTTTATTTTTATAAGTGAAACAAACCAAGCCTTACTTTTTTGTATCATGTATAATTGTATTCCATCTTAAGCATTATTAGAAGAGATGGAGTTTTTCCATGTTGGCCAGGCTGGTCTCAAATTCCTGGCCTCAAGTGATCTGCCCACCTCGGCCTTCCAGAGTGCTGGGATTACAGGCATGAGCCACTGTGCCCAGCCTTCACTGACTTTTATTGTTTATTTAGTATTTTCACTTGAATTGCATAATTTGATTATAAAACAACTGTATGAAATATACATGGTATGAATGATTATTATTCCTATTTTAGAAATGAGGAAGCTCTGTTTACTGATGTGGTTAGTCAATTAATCAAGATTACCAATTTTTGAAATGCCTAAACCAAAGCTTAAAATGAGTTATTTTTGATCCATCATCCAGATCTTTAAGTAGCAATCCATGTTGACATCATTTGAGTCTGTGTGATAATTAATTGAGTTGTAGAAACATGAGGCAAAATGTTACTTAACACTTAGCCATATATAGTAGGCTCTTCTGCATCCACGCCTGGCTTCTATTTCTTCTCCTCACTCTGTGTGACATCAGCAATACCGCTGCTACACTATAGCAGAGAGGTTAGGAGTTTGGCTCTGGAGATAGAGCAATCTGAGTTTGAATCTTATTTTCTTTCTTTAATTAATTTTTTTTTTTGAGGAGGAGTCTTGCTCTGCCACCAAGGCTGGAGTGCAGTGGCGCGAACTTGGCTCACTGCAATCTCCGCCTCCCGGGCTCATGCCATTCTTCTGCCTCAGCCTCTGGAGTAGCTGGGAATACAGGCGTCCGCCACCGTGCCCAGCCAAAGTTTTGTATTTTTTAGTAGAGATGGGGTTTCACCATTCACAGGATGGTCTCGATCTCCTGACCTTGTGATCTGCCCACCTCAGCCTCCCAAAGTGCTGGGATTACAGACATGAGCCACTGCGCCCGGCCCTTTCTTTAATTTTTTTAAAAGTTCTGGGGTACGTGTGCAGGATGTTCAGGTTTGTTACATAGGTAAACATGTGCCATGGTGGTTTGCTGCACCTATCAACTCATCACCTAGATATTAAGCCCAGCATGCATTAGCTCTTTTCTCTAACGCTCTCCCTCCCCACCCTCCCCGATGGGCCACAGTGAGTGTTGACCCCTCCCTGTGCCCACGTGTTCCCATTGTTCAGCTCCCACATATAATTGAGAACATGCAGTTCTCAATTTGGTTTTCTGTTCCTGCTTTAATTTGCTGAGGATAATGGCTTCCAGCTCCATCCATGTTCCTGCAAAGGACATGATTTTATTCCTTTTTATGGCTACATAGTATTGAATCTTATTTTCTATGCTTGCTAGTGGCATGATCTTGAGAAAAGTGATGAGATTTCTAGAAACCTCTGATGCCTGTCTTTAAAATGAAAGTAAAGATATTTTAGATTCCAAGTATAAGTGAGGTCACGCAGTATTTGTCTATCTGTGTCTGACTTATTTCACTTCGCATAATGTCTTCCAGGTCCATATATCTTGCTGCAAATGACAAAACTTCTTTCTTTTTTAAGGTGTCACCTATATACCTCAATAAAGCTGGGGAAATAAAAGGTAAAGAGTATACATGTATCAAAGTGTTATTGTGACAATTAGATTAATCTCTCTAAAGTTCTTAATGCAGTTTCTGGCACATAGTGAACTCCCAACATGCTTATTTGATATTACCATGTCTACCTCTATCAGGGGAACCAGCCCTCAATATTTCAACGTACGTTCTTTTCTATTTTCCCTAAGTGTCGGCCAGTCTGAGAAATAAAGAGAAAGAGTACAAAGAGAGAAATTTTACAGCTGGGCCTCTGGGGGTGCCATCACATATAGGTAGGACTGTGATGGTGACCCCAAGCCACAAAACCAGCAAGTTTTTATTAGGGATTTCAAAAGGGGAGGGGTGTATGAATAGGGAGAGGGTCACAGAGATCACATGCTTCAAAGGGCAGTAAAAGATCACAAGCCAAAAGGTCAGAGCAAGATCATAAGGCAAGGGTGAAATTAGAATTACCAATGAGGTTCCATGTCCTGCTGGGCACACATTGTCTTGATAAACATCTTAACAGGAAACAGGGTTCGGGAGCAGACAACTGGTCTGACTAGAATTCACCAGGCTGGAATTTCCAACCCTAGTAAGCCTGAGGGCACTGCAGGAGACCAGGGCATATTTCATCCCTTATCTCAACCGCATAAGACAGACGATCCCAGAGCAGTTGTCTATAGGCCTACCCCTGGGAATCCATTCCTTCCCCAGGGTTATCAATTATTAACATTCCTTGCCAGGAAAAGAATTCAGCAATATTTCTCCTACTCCCACGTCCATTTATAGGCTCCCTGCAAGAAGAAAAATATGGCTTTATTCTGCCTGACCCCACAGGCAGTCAGACCTTATGTTTATCTTTCCTTGTTCCCTGAAAATCACTGTTATTCTGTTCTTTTTCAGGGTGCCCTGATTTCATATTGTTCATAACACCCATGTTGTACAATCAGATTTCATATTGTTCAAACACACATGTTTTACAAACAATTTGTACAGTTAACGCAATCATCACAGGGTCCTGAGGTGACATACATCCTCAGCTTATGAAGATGACGGGATTAAGAGATTAAAGTAAAGACAGGCATAGGAAATTATAAGAGTATTGACTGGGGAAGTGATAAATATCCATGAACTCTTCACAATTTATGTTCAGAGATTGCAGTAAAGACAGACATAAGAAATTATAAAAGTATTAATTTTGGGAACTAATAAATGTCCATGAAATCTTCACAATTTATGTTCTTCTGCTTTGGCTTCAGCTGGTTCCTCTGTTTGGGGTCCCTGACTTCCCGCAACAAACCTCAACCCTTTCCTAACCTTCTATAAAGAAATTGCTTTCTTTTGTTTTTCTATCTCTTTTAGGCTTGAAATACATGCGGCCTTTAGAGAAATTTTTTTGTTGTTGTTGAGTAATACAACATGGTGTTTCTTTTTATTTTACCTTAGCATTCTCATTTCAAACTCTGAAATCTAAAATGTAGGTCCATTTTCATTCCATCTTTTCCCTGGTTTTACAAACTCTCACCATATCCCTTCCAAAGCTTCACCTTTTAAGATTGTAGGCTCCCATAATTTATATTAAACTTACCCTCTGTTGGAAAAAATAGTCTGTAATTCCTCATGTTACAACATATTCACTTTTACACGAAGATAAAACAACCTATAAATTCATATGAAAATAAATTTCTCTGTTATGGGAAGAAATATTCAAAATTAATCTCCAAGAGGCCATCATCCTAACTAGCATGGGAACAGAAAATCAAAACCACACATTCTCACTTATAAATGGGAACTAAACACTGAATACACATGGCCACAAAGGAGGGAACAACAGACACCAAAGCCTACTAGAGGGTAGAGAGTGGAAGGAGGGTGAGGATTGAAAAACCAACTATTGGGTACTATGCCATGCTTATTACCTGGGTGATGAAATAATCTGTACAACAAACCCCCATGATACCTATTTAACAAACCTGCACATGTACCACTGAATCTAAAATAAAAGTTAAAAAAGTCACAAAAAGTGCAAAATTGGTCTCCAAGAAATTAGTTTCCACCACATTTGGGAGATTATCAGGAAAAGTTTCTTGTTTTATCCCCATAACTCCATGTCTAATAAAAATGACAATTGCAGAATTTTTGGCAAAGGAAATATTGCTTTCTTTCACTTTGACACATTTTGGGAAGCTAATTAATAATAGCTAGCTATAATTGAGACCTTGAATTCTGTACCCATTCATTTCTGCTGTTAGATGATAAAAATATTATTTAATTAACTAAGAAATATGAAATCATGATGAGGATTGCTAAAAAATAGCCTGTCTTTTGGCCAGCTTGCTACAATTTCATCTGAAAAGACTTTTTAGAAAAGCACACTTATTTTAATTGTAATTTAAAGTACCCTGATTTTTGGTACAGTTAAAATATCAAATAGCAGAAAGACTAATACTAGTGCACCCCTATTTTTATTGTCCAAATTATGATGAACAACATCCCCATTAACTTATAAATATTGCTTACTTTTGAAAAATTTCAACTCGCTAGATTAAATACATGGGTAAATATTCTGAGTAGTTTTGTAGTAATTAAAAATTATTACTAATCTTGTTAACAAAGATAGCTGTATCTTCTTTTTAGAGACCATGTAAAATGTCTTTCATTCATAATCCATATTTGTTTTAGCAAATTTAGAAAATAAGAAAATAAAGATGGTCAACATACATCCTCCAACACACTTGTATAAATCCACCTATTAGCCCATTACCTAGAGATAATCACTATCAACATTTTGATGGATATTCTTCCAGTCCTCAATCACCTTTTCTTCTCCTTTTCCTCCCCTTCTTTCTCTTCTTCCTCCCTTTTCTTCTCTATTTCCCTCTCCCTCTCTTTATATACAGTATATCATATGATAGGTGTATGACACAAATATATGTGATATGTAATATATGAGATAATATTTTATTTCCATACTGATTTGTTTAATCTGATTTTCATATTTCAATTTATGCCTGATATATATCTGCATAATGTAAATTTTTTCTGTGACTCAATATGGATGACTGTTTAGTATTTATTATATAGCTTTTCTAAATTTATTTAACGGAACCCCTGTTAATGAATTTAGATTGGTTCTAGTTTTTGCTATTATAAAGAGTACTGCAACAAATATTCTTTTAGCCAAATATTTTTACACATCTAAGAGTGCATCTTTAGGGAAAAACAAACAAACAAACCTAATAGAGTAGAGTCAGAGTTAGGAACAAAAGTAGAAAAGAACATTCTCATTCTAGAGGAATAAGCTCATTCATAAGTTAGAGGCATGAGAAGGCACAGTAGGGTGATCATCAATTAAGGGGTATTTCAGAATCAAGAGTAGAATCTTGGCATGTAAATGAATGACTTCACAATGTGATGAATGCGACAATAGTGTATGAGCCAGGTATAGTCAGGAGATGAGTGAAGGGTTTTCAACACTGAGTAGATCAAGGGGTATTACATGCAAGAGGCTATATTTCACTGGATGTTGAAGTATGAGTAAAAGGAGTCAGATGAATCAACTGAAAATGTGAGGAATGAAAAGGGAATTACAGTCACAGAATCAGCATATGCTTTCAGGACACAGTGTATTTGGCCTCAGTCCTGTAAGAAAATGTGAAGCCACTTGAAGGTTTTAACATAAAATTAGGTTCCTACTTTACATGACTATGAAAATAAATTCCAGATGAAAAAAATCCTAAACTCAAACATTTCTTTTTAAAAATTAATAGAAGATATTATTTGATAATATATTCATGATCTAGGCCAGAGAAGTCTTTCTGAAATGAGAGATAAAATTTGGATCAATAAATGGGGCCACATAATACATAAATTGCTTTTGAATGATAAGAAGACACCATAAACAAAGTCAGAAGACCAGTCACTGCTGGAGAGAAGATATTTGCAACATGTATAATAGCCAAAGAATCAGAATATAAAAAGCACTGCTAGAGTATAAGAAGAAAAAGTTAAACAACCAATATATAAATAGGTAAATGTATAAACAAAAAATTTACTGTTTATACAAACATTTTAAAGATGCCCAACTTTGGTGGTAATCAGGGAAATGCCAATTATAGTAATAATAAGAATCCACTTTCACATATTTCACATATTGGCAAAGACTAAAGCACTTGACAATATCAAGTGTGGCCAGAGATGGGAAATGGCAGCTCTGTTGTACACTGCTGGTGGCACAGCCAGCATGGAAAGCTCTTTGATGGTATTTGTTAAAATAAGTACTAACCATTTGATTCACTCGTAGGTATCTACTTAGAGAACAACTAATTTAGATATTCTTAATACCTAAGAATTTCATGAATGTGCATATGGAAACATGTACAAGGATTTTCACCACAGAATTGTTTGTAATAAAACATAGAAGTAATCAACTAGGGAATTGCTTAGGCAACCATGGCGTATGACGGATTACTGTATAGCAGTTACAAGAAATGAATTGTATTTTTATTTGTTAATACAGATCAATCTGAAAAACAATGTTGAGTGCAAAATAAGTTGAAAATGATGCATCTAGTATGATAACGTTAATAGAAAATAAACCACTAAATGTCAAAAATATTTTCTTTGTGTGTGCATGTGTTAGTACGTATTTGTGTGTGTGAAAGCAGAGAATAGTATTTTTTGTCATGAGAAGTAGAAGAGCAAAGGGGTCTTTTACTTCTACTTTTTATGTCCTAATTTAATAAGCACAATATATCAGTACATGACTTTGTGTAATTAAAAATGGAAAGAAACCTCATAAAACAGATATGTTAGACTTTAAAATAGTAGCTTATTGATTATAAGAAAATGACACTTTTTCTCTTCTTTGTATTTTTATGTATTTTTTAAACCTAAAAATCAGACAATTTAGATTTTTCTTTAGATGAGGTCAAAATAAAGATATTGTGCTGGTGCCCCTCCCCTGATCCCATGAATTCCCTGTTCCCTTACTTACACCGACAATTAATTTGATTTATCATCCTGTTCAAGGCCAGTCTTTTCACTGATCCCCATGACCGCCTCCCATCACATTACCTCCAAGACCTCTTCAGTTCTCAATTATTGCTTTTTTGTCATAATTTCAGCTTAATCTTTACCTTTGGTTAAGCCTCTGCCAACCTAAAAGGTGGAAACTACACTCTAGGGCTAAATTATTTATTTGTTCAGCTTACAAGTCAGCTTAGGCAAATAAACTTATCTAATGCTTAGTTTCCTCAACTATAAATGGACATTTTATTCCTTAGGTCATGCCTTTGTAAGAGGAAAGTGTGTAGGAAGATGACTGTTGGGCAGGTGACAGGTGCCTGATAAATGTTAGTTTCCTTCCTTGCTGGTGAGAAAAGTATAAAAGAAGAATAAGGGTTAGAAATAATTTAATCCTCTGAATTTTAAGTACTGTGGAAAACATACTGGTCAAGTAAAAAGAGAAGATCTGTGATTGAGATTTTTATTCTGCAACTGATCATTACACGGCCACTGGCAAACAACTTTAAAAAAATCATTTTTTTCACTTCTCTTGAACCCCTTTCCCTGAAGTGGAATTTTGTTTTAATGAACAATGGCAAAATGAATGCATACTCATATAAAAATATTTGCTATTTTTTATTTTGTTATTTATCAGAGGAAAGTAGCACTGTATAAGTTATGAGCTGTTCCTTTATGTGCAAAGTGGTGCAGGTGGAGAAAAAGACAGTTAATTTCAAAGAAGTTTTCTGATATGTGTGAATCAAAACATTTATGGAATTTAAATTACTGACAAGTCACTAGCTGGTTCTTTGCAGACACAACATTTTCAGCCTGATCTGTCTTTGAAAACTAGTTCACCTGCAGATTAGTTCAAAAAGTGATATACACAACAAAATTTATTTTAAAAAATGAAGGCCAAAGAGTTTCAAGAAGACAATTTCAATGTAAATATAAGATATTTAAGACAACTAATTTGTTTATTTATATTAAGTGGAAGCAGAATAGAATTTGGCAAAGCATGAGGGGTTTGGGTTGGACAGGCTTAGACCTGAATTCTATCTAAGCCAAATTTTAGCTACTTAAACTTGAACACTATAATTAACCTTTCTGTCTCTTGGTTTCCTAATTTATGAAATGGGAATATCAAGGTTATCATGTTTATTGAGTGTCAGTGAGAATTATTAACAAATAACAGAAAGAATATAAAGTACTTTGCACATAGTAGACACTCAAATAAATTAAAAATAGCCACCATAATTATAAATACAATATCATTGTTTTGTTGGTAGTGACAGTTTCCTGTGAGTAGGGTCACAATTATGTTTAATTAAATATTTTAGACAGAGGTAAATTCTATGTTTTGAGGCTTAAAAAGGTAAGCACAGAAATAACTGAAGGTCACAAATGGCTGCTTTCATGGTGTAGGTCAAAGGATACAAAATTTCAGTTAGATTGGAGGAATAAGTTCAAGAGATCTATTGTACAGTATGGTGACTATAGTAAATAACGAAATCTTGTATTCTTAAAAAATGCTAAGAGGGTAGATTTTAAGTGTTTTCACCATGAAAAGGATAACTATGTGAGGTAATGCATACGTTAATTAGCTTGATTTAACCATTCTGATGCAGGCAAACCCCAAAACTGGGGCTTTGACAAGCTGCATCATGGCTGGGGTTGTGACTCTTGCTTGGAACACAAGTCCTGCTGATGTACCTCATTTTCCCCTCAGAGATTATATACTCCTCCTTAATTTTAAAGAGTTGCAGGAGGGTGGAAGTCCTTGAGCTTGCAGTTCAACTAACTCTGAATTGTTAGCATAAGAACAACAGGTGTGGTTTATTACTGCACATACTTTTCCTTGTCCTTGTCATGCTACTTATCTGTGTGTTTGTTAAACAACAGCTTCAAATCTTCTTGAGGATCACAAGTGTAGGTCATGGTGTTCTTCTCTTGCACCTGCAGGGATTCATGAGAAAATAAGTTTAATGCTATACAGGTATACCCAACTAGTGACTCCCGGAAGTTTCACAGCAGCACGGGTATTTAACAACACCTGATAGGAGGCCTTTTATTTTGGTTGTAATAGATCCTTGGGGAAGACTCCCTTCTTTCCAGGTTTTTAGTAAGACTAAGTCTCCAGATTAAAGAGGGGACTTACTCTTTTCCTTGTGGGAAAGGGAAATGCTTTATTTCCATATTCTTGAAAGATCTTTCGAAACTGGCCTAAGTTGATAATATGAGTGAGCGTTCTAGGTGTCTCCTCATCAAACAGGAAATCTGAAGTTAAAAACGGCCTCCCACAGGTTATTTCAAATGGACTAAGTTTTAGGGTTCCTCTTGGAGCCCTCCTTATGCACAAGAGGGCTACGGATTGGAGAAAAACTTAGGCCTCCCAGGTTTCCCAACAGAGTTTTGCTAATGTCCTTTTAAAAACATGGTTGGCTCTTTCTACCTTACCAGAGGATTGAAGCCTCCAGGAGGAATGAAGATGACAGGTAATGCCCAAGGCTGAGGAAACCTGCGGGGTCACCTTACCTATGAAGAAGGGTCCATTACCACTTGGCAAGCTTTTTGATAATCCAAACCTTGGGATGAACTTCTTTAAGTAAGAATTTGGACCCTTCCAATACTTTTTCTGTCCTTGTGGGAAAAGTTTCTATCCATCTGGTGAAAATGGCTATAAGTACTAGCAAATATTGTAGTCCTCTGTAAGGCAGTCTGAGTGAAATCTATTTGCCAGTCTTCCCCAGGATATGTTCCTTGATGTTATAAAGGTTTGAGTAGGTGGCTTCCTGGGTTATTATGGGCACAGAGTTCACAGGTCCTGGTGACCCCTTTTTCAGTCTGGAATAGTCCCTTCTCCAAGAATATTTGGGAAACCAATTTGAAGAGAGAATTCCATCCCAAATGTGAGGAGTTATGGAAATGCTTAATTATTTTCCACTGCTTAGCCTTGGGGAGAAAGTTTGTTGCTTTCTAGCAACTACCATGAGGGACTCTTTTGTAAGCCTTTCTGTTATGTTCATTTAATTTCCTCAGGTGTACAGTATGATTCTGCTGACATGGGTGGAGTATCAGGCATTAGTGCAGTGGCCCGTGGTACTGATCTTCTTGTAGCAGTGGCCTTGGCTGCTCTGTCTGCCAGAGCATTTCCTCTAATACTAGACATGTCTCCCTTATTGTGTCCCCTGCAATGAATAACTGCTATTTCTTTTGGGAGCTGGACAGTATCTAAAAGTTCCAAGATCTCAGTGATGTTTTATGGGGGACCCCTTAGATGTTAGTAGTCCTCTTTCTTTCTACAAGGCAGCATGAGCATGGAGCATCAGGAATCCATATTTAGAATGAGTAAATATATTGACTCTTTTCCCAGTTGGAGGGTCCTTATTAAAACAATTAATTCCACTTTTTGAGGAGAAGTCTGGGGAGGTAAAACTTTGGCCTTAATAACTTCTTGTTGGCTAACCATAGCATTACCTGTCTTCTTTACTACTCCTTTATGAATAAAGCTACTCCTGTCTGTAGACCACAAAACATCAAAGCTATCAGGGGCTCATATTTAAGGTCAGACCTGCTAGAGTAGGTCTGTTCCATGGTTTTCACATAGGAGTGGATGAATTGGGGACCTGTTTCTTGGGATGTGAAGTCTGGGAACAGGGTAACAGAGTTTAAAACTTAATATACCTTAAGGGTAACATCTGGGGGTGTCAAGCAGAAGGGCCTGATATTTAAGTAACTGGCTTCCTATTAGCCATGGACGTCCTTTTGCCTCTAGAACCTCCTGTACTTGATGGGGAGGTCATAACATCTAAATGGTGCACCAAGGTAAACTTACTGTCTGTTTCTATCAATAGAGTGATGGTGGCCATAGCTTGCAAGAATCCTGGCCATCCAGCCACCATCTGTTCCAGCTGTTTAGAGAAGCCATTCATCTGGGATAATTCCTGAGCCTTGGATTTAGAACACCCAAAATTGTCCCTTGTTTTTCAGCCATATAGAGGGTGAAAGGTCCCAAAGCAGGGGCTGTTCCCATCTTTTCTTTTAAGGTTAGAAATGCCTGTTGGCAGGTTCCATCCCAGTTCAAAGGCTCATGATCATTCCCTTTTAGACCTTCATAGAGTGGTTTTGATATGAGCCCCAACTCAGGAATCCAAATCCAGCATAATCCAGTCATTCCCACAAAGGTTCTTAACTATTTCTTAGTCTGAAGGGGCTGGAGTGCCAGGATGGTCTCTTTCTGTTTCTGCGCTAGGGTCCTTGTCCCAGGAGGGAACATGTATCCCAAGTATTTAACATTTTGAATAGAAATCTGGGCCTTGTGCTTGGGGGGGATACACGATACCCTTGTTTTCTCCCAAAATTAAGGACCTGAATTGTATTTTTATTAGAGTATTTTCTAGTAGTGCTGGAAATTAATAGGTCATCTACATATTGTAAAATGGATCCATTTTTTAACTATAATTCCCTTAATTATTTTGTCAATGCATTCCCAAAGAGATGAGGACTGTCCCTATGACCTTGGAGGAAAGAGTCCAGGTAAACTGAGATATAGCATGAGGGTCTGGATCAGTCCATTCAAAAGCAGAAATATACTGGGACGTCTGGGTGTAAAGATATGTAAAATAAAGCATCATTTAAATCTAATACTGTGAACCAATTAGCATCTTCGGGGATTTGGTTCAATATTGTGTAAGGGTTAGGAACTATTGGGTAGGCAGTGACTAATACCTCATTAACTGTCCTCAGGGCTTAAATCTGTATTCCCCATTTTCCTTCTTTACACACAGGATGGGGGTATTACATGGGGACTGCCAGGGCTGTAGTAGTCCATACTTTAGAAACTTTGCTATCAGGGGTTGTATGCCCAGTTGTGCTTCAGGTCTCATGGATATTGTTTCCTCCATGGGTAACCAACATTGGGCTTCAAGGTAACCTGGACTGGGGGTACATTAACAGCTCTACCAGCAACTTCTATTTCCCAGAGGGGTCTACTTGAGAAGTAATATGCAGTGGAAGGGAGGTCTTTTATGTATCTGTGTGTATTAAGTTATTCACTTAGAGCCCTTCCTGGCCTATTGCCTTATCATAAGGCTCCTCAAATTGAACTGTGGCCTGTAATTGGGAATGTAAGTCCCTTCCCAGTAAAGACACAGGGCACTCAGGTTTAAAACCTATGGTCCTGCACATTGCAACCAAGGCAGTGGGTGAATCTCCTAATTCTTGGATATCAATCTCTGTTATGGTATAAGAGCAGGAAGACAACTGGCCCTGAGAAATGGGTCAGAACTCTTACCCAATAAGAACTCAGTCTTCTTACCTACCACATCAAGGGTTAGCCAAGGATCTCCTGTGGAGATGGCAAGATGTACAGTGGGAACCATGGAGGACTTCAGGCCCCTTCAATCCTCTGTTCTCTTAGCCATTGTGAGTGTGGGTAGCCGAGGCTTTCTTCAGAGCCTGAGGAAGTCCCTTTCCCAATGGCCCTCTTGCTTACAGAAAAAAACACTGGCCGAGGGGACAGCAAGTCAGAGACTTTCACCTGGGCATCCCAGAGGCTGATTTCATGACACTTTCTCAGAATGGGTAATCCTGAGGTGGCACAGAGTTTAAGGCAGCCACTAAGAATTGTGCTTTTTGGTTATTTCTTTTTTTTTTTATACTTTAAGTTTTAGGGTACATGTGCACAATGTGCAGGTTAGTTACATATGTATACACGTGCCATGATGGTGTGCTGTACCCATTAACTTGTCATTTAGCATTAGGTATATCTCCTAATGCTATCCCTCCCCCCTCCCCCCACCCAACAACAGTCCCCAGAGTGTGATGTTCCCCTTCCTGTGTCCTTGTGTTCTCAATGTTCAATTCCCACCTATGAGTGAGAACATGCAGTGTTTGGTTTTTTGTCCTTGCGATAGCTTACTGAGAATGATGATTTCCAATTTCACCCATGTCCCTACAAAGGACATGAACTCATCATTTTTGATGGCTGCATAGTATTCCATGGTGTATATGTGCCATATTTTCTTAATCCAGTCTATCATTGTTGGACATTTGGGTTGGTTCCAAGTCTTTGCTATTGTGAATAATGCCGCAATAAACATACGTGTGCATGTGTCTTTATAGCAGCATGATTTATAGTCCTTTGGGTATATACCCAGTAATGGGATGGCTGGGTCAAATGGTATTTCTAGTTCTAGATCCCTGAGGAATCGCCACACTGACTTCCACAATGGTTGAACTAGTTTACAGTCCCACCAACAGTGTAAAAGTGTTCCTATTTCTCCACATCCTCTCCAGCACCTATTGTTTCCTGACATTTTAATGATTGCCATTCTAACTGGTGTGACATGGTATCTCATTGTGGTTTTGATTTGCATGTCTCTGATGGCCAGTGATGGTGAGCATTTTTTCATGTGTTTTTTGGCTGCATAGATGTTTTATTTTGAGAAGTGTCTGTTCATGTCCTTCGCCCACTTTTTGATGGGGTTGTTTGTTTTTTTCTTGTAAATTTGTTTGAGTTCATTGTACATTCTGGATATTAGCCCTTTGTCAGATGAGTAGGTTGCGAAAATTTTCTCCCATTTTGTAGGTTGCCTGTTCACTCCGATGGTAGTTTCTTTTGCTGTGCAGAAGCTCTTTCATTTAATTAGATCCCATTTGTCAATTTTGGCTTCTGTTGCCATTGCTTTTGGTGTTTTAGACATGAAGTCCTTGCCCATGCCTATGTCCTGAATGGTAATGCCTAGGTTTTCTTCTAGGGTTTTTATGGTTTTAGGTCTAATGTTTAAGTCTTTAATCCATGTTGAATTAATAACTTTTTGGCTATTTCTTCAGATTTTCTTCACCTTCTCTGCCCTGTCCCTATTGTTGTAAACTCCAAAGGCCGTGTTTAAGAGTTGGTTCTTGGGTGTTTGAAGTCCCATTTCTGCCTTTTGTAGTTTCCTCCTAAGTTAAGGGCAGATCAAGTAATAAAATTTATACCTAGGAGAGCTTGCTCCTCCCAGGAGTCTGGGTCTGCATTAGTGTATTTCCTGAGTGCCTCAGCCATACTGTCCTGAAACAGAGCAGGATGTTCTTCCTTCCCCTGATTTACTTCTGTAACATCGTCATAACTGGCTTAACCATATCTTTTCCATACCTTCTATTAAATAAGTTACCATGTGATTTCTGCATTTGAAATCTTGGGAACCCCTCTGGCAACCCCACTGAGGTCCAAGTCTGGAACTGCATCTCCCTTCACATGATAAATGGCATGGCTTTTGTTTCAAGTAGCTACTCCATCTGCATATTCATGGGCAGTACCCAGAATCCTTTGTTTCTGTCTTGTGGTACAGCAGGTGGACAATAATATTTGCAAGTCTTGTCAAGATAAAGTATATGGTCAACTTAATAAATTCCTTTATAAACTTCCCTGGATCTTCCAAAAATGGGCCAAATTTCTCCTTGCATAAAGTCAAATCAGACGCAGAAAGAGGCACATGTACCCTAATTGTTCCCCTATTTCTGTCAGCTACCTCTTGCAATGGTCACGGGTTCAATTTTAGGGGCTGATATGGGGCATCACTCCTGGTGGTACTGGTTGGGCTTATTTCCTCAAGCAGCAGGGGTATAGGTTGGGCCTAACTGGCTAAGTGGGAGGGGAGTCTGATGACCCTAGGGTGAAATCCTGGGCTGGAAAACTAGTGGGACTCCCCTCAGAATCAGGGAACTGAGGAGGCTCCAAGGGACATGTGGGCCTCCTAGGGAGAGCAGCTAGGAGGGTATCATCTAGGAAGTGCATCTTCTTGGTATCTGGAAGTAACATGAGCCAGGCACATCCTACAGCTCTCCCTTAAGTGAGGGTTCTGGTAAAGGGCCGTAAACACCTGTACATAAGGGACCTCTGTCCATTTTCCTTCCTTTTCACAGAATAAGTCCAACTGTAAAATAGTATTATAAGGTAAATAACCATTTTTAGGCCAAATTTCTTGGTCTTCCAATTTGTATTGGACCCAAATCATATTGCAATAGGAAATGAATTTCTTTCCCTTGAAGCTGTCTAATTTGCATTTACTCCAATTGCCTAAAAGACACCCTAGTGATGAGTTCTTCGGGATGCTCACTATTGTCGCCGTGTCTAACGAGGATCCCTACAGAAGTTTTTCTAAGTCTAATGAGAGCCCAGTTATTTTCCCTTTTAAATTCTCACCTTTTTTTCTCAAGAAAGATCAGTGGGGAAGTTGTCACCAGTTCCTGCAAAGAGGGTGTAAGTACAGTTAGCAGGGTGTGATGAAAGTGAATTATGAGATATAAGTGATCAGTGGAGTGATGACTGTGTCCACTGGCAAATGGAATACAAGAAAAGGAGTGTTGTAATAAGCAAAGTACAGAAGGAGAGGTGAAAATAGGGTGACAGAAAAAAAAAATGAGTTCATCTCCTTTGCAGGGACATGAATGAAGCTGGAAACCATCATTCTCAGCAAACTAACACAGGAATGGACAACCAAACACTGCATGTTCTCACTCATAAGTAGGAGTTCAACAACGAGAACACATAGACACAGGGAGGGGAACATCACACACCGGGGCCTGTTGGGGGGTAGGGGGAAAGGGGAGGGAGAGCATTAGGAAAAATACCTAATGCATACGGGGCTTTAAACCTAGATGGCAGGTTGATGCGTGCAGCAAACCACCGTGGCACATGTATATACCTATGTAACAAAACTGCATGTTCTGCACATGTATCCCAGAACTTAAAGTAAAAAAAAATAAAAAATAAAAAATAAAGATAATTGAGAAAATATGGGATAGAAACCAGTAATTTGTGCCAATACAGTTCTTGGTTTTTTTTAACCCTGCCCCCAAAAAATAGGGTGACAGGATTCTCATAGTCTGAATTCCACAAAAAGGGAAGAAAGCATTTTGGTTGAGGAAAAAGAGGGACTAGAGGAGGTCGCTGAAAATGGTGGTATGACAAAGACCAAGATTGCCCCTAGGGTGGGACTCTAACCCACAACCCTAGAGGGAATGTAAAAAAATCCAGAGTGCCATGGGGAACCTCTCAAAATAACAAAAGAAACAAACAAGGCCCGAATAGAAATAATTGTCCGAATAGGAGGGTGACCGAAGGGGACGCTCTCCCATCCATGAAGGCCAAATGGTGCCAATTGGTCTTAATTTGGGGTTCAGGTAATTGTCTCCCACAGATCCCTTCAGCTTGTTAGTCCCTTCATGTTATTGGTCCCTTCGTACTCACCAGGAAAGATGATGCAGATGAACCTGAAAACTGTGGCTCAGCCTGTGAAGTTTCTTGGCTTTGTGCCAGAAAGGATTCAGAGCAAACTGAAAGTAAATTTATTAGAGCAACAAAGTATAAGGAAATGACTGCTCCATAGACAGAGCAAGGCTTTTCCATAGGCAGAGTAGCTCTGCTTGCTTGCTGGCTAGTTATATTTATAGCTACTCCTTAACTATGGTAAGTAGTGGGTGGTTATTCATGAATTTTCTGGAAAAGAGGTGGAGAGTTTCCAGAAACTAGGGTTTCTCCCATTTTAAACCGTATAAGGTAACTTCTGGGCATTGCCATGGCATTTGTAAACTGTCAGGGAACTGTTGGGAGTGTCTTTTAGCATGCCAATGCATTATAGTTAGAGTATAATGAGCAATGAGGATGACTAGAAGTCACTTTCATTGCCATCTTGGTTTTAGCTGATTTCAGCCAGTTTCTTTACTGCATCCTGCTTTGACCAGCGGGGTTGTGACTGGTGCTTGGAAAACAAGTCCTGATGATCCACCTGAATTCCAGAATGTATACATATTTCAAAACATCATGTTGTACATGATAAATATATGTAATTTTATCTGTCAGATAAAATGTTAAAAAAAGAAATTCACTGCTTCCAATACATACAAAACATACAAAGTGAGTGCTTAGGTCAGGACTTCATTCACAGAAAGTGCTTAATAGAAATTAGTTATAATCATTATCACAATTGTCATCATTATTCTTATTTTTGTATTATCCTATTTCTCATTCTGTTTTTCTTGGGAATTACAACTACATTTTTTAAAAGTTATACTTTAAGTTCTACGGTACATGTACAGAAAGTGCAGATTTGTTACATAGGTATACACGTGCCATGGTGGTTTGCTGCACTCATCAACTCATCTATCCCTCCCCTAGCCCCCAACCCCACAACAGGCCCCAGTGTGTGATGTTCCTCTCCCTGTGTCTATGTGTTCTCATTGTTCAACTCCCACTTAAGAGTGAGAACATGCAGTGTTTGGTTTTCTGTTCCTGTGTTAGTTTGCTGAGAATGATGGTTTCCAGCTTCATCCATTTCCCTGCAAAGGACCTGAACTCATCCTTTTTCATGGCTGCATAGTATTCCATGGTGTATATGTGCCACATTTTCTTTATCCAGTCTATCATTGATGGGCATTTGGGTTGGCTCCAAGTCTTTGCTGTTGGAAATAGTGCTGCAGTAAACATACATGTGCATGTGTCTTTATAGTAGAATGATTTATAATCCTTTGGTTATATATCCAGTAATGGGATTGCTGGGTCAAATGGTATACAACTACATTTTTAAAGGATAAATTTTATTTTTAAAAACAGTGTTGTTTGCATGTATTTACAAAATAGGCACTCATAAGAAATTATGAAAATGCATTTATTTTTAAAAAGGCATTGCATGCAAGATGTGACCTGATACAAGGTCCCGAGAACACAGAAAATGTCTGCATCCAGTGATGTGCAGCTCCATGGGTTAGAAATGTCCTCCTAAAAACATGTTTCTGAGTTCTCCCACAGGAACCACAAGCTAAGTACAGACAGATCTTTTGGTCCTTGGCACTGACTCTCCTTTCTCCTTCTTTCAGAGGACCAGAACAGGATGGGATCTGTCATTCATCAGAGCTTTTAAACTTAGTTCTGCTCAGGCATCTCACAGTGGCCCCCACCAGCTCCCTCATTTTAACTACAGAGACATTGAAGAGTATTTTCATCTCAGAAGAGAAAATAAGTGATGGGATAGACTTTAATTTCCAAAGACCTGGTTGGTGGCTCCAGTAAGCATCCCAGGTGAGAAAACAACCTACCGTTGTGCTGTCTGTATGTGTAAGCGGATGACATTAATGACAGATTTTTTGTTTGTTTGTTTGAGACAGCGTCTTGCTCTGTCGCCCAGGCTGGAGTGCAGTGGCGCGATCTCAGCTCACTGCAAGCTCCGCCTCCCGAGTTCACACCATTCTCCTGCCTCAGCCTCCCATGTAGCTGGGACTACAGGCACCCGCCACACGCCTGGCTGATTTTTTTGTATTTTTAGTAGAGAAGGTGTTTCACCATGTTAGCAAGGATGGTCTCGATCTCCTGACCTTGTGATCCACCCACCTTGGCCTCCCAAAGTGCTGGGATTCCAGGCATGAGCCACTGCGCCCGGCCATGCTAGATTTTGAAATGCAGTGGTCTGACACAGACATTGAATCCTGCTACGCCTGTGGGGACTGAAGAAGAGTGGTGATGTACTTGTTATCGTTTGTCTGGAACCACAGTCTGCTGCATACCTTAGACTCCGGTGCCATCCCTGAAGGGTATTCAGTGTTGGACCAATTTTTATGACTTTTCAGCTGACTCATGGTTTCACTTTAAATCATTTAATTATCATTACTGAAAAAAAAACATGTAATGTTATTTCCCTTTTACTGATGAAGGAACAGGTTGAGAGGTGAAACAATTTGCTTACATTTATAAGGCTAATTAATTCTGGAGACCAGATGAGAAATCAAGTCTGTTTGACCCAGGGCTCTTAATCCCTAACTTCAAAGCATCTGACTATATCTGAATCTTTTAGCATTTCATTACATTCTTGATATGGATTCTTTTCTATAATCTACATTTATGATCACTGTCATCCAGTTTCATGATACAAACTTATTTCTACATCTCTGGTAATTTCCTTTTCAGCTGTTTTGTTTTCAGTGCTTTCTTTTCCTTTGCTGGCATGTAAAACCAGATTTTAATGTATAGATATTTTTTGCCTTAACTTTATTTTTATCAGTTACATTTATCAATTATATTTCTTTTGCTCCAGCCAATAATACTTTCAATTCTTCCTGGGTGCAGTGGCTCACGCCTATAATCCCAGCACTTTGGGAGGCCAAGGTGAGCTGATCACCTGAGTTCAGGAGTTTGAGACCAGCCTGGCCAACATGGTGAAACCCTGTCTCTACTAATAATACAAAAATTAGCTGAGCATGGTGGTGTGCACCTGTAATCCCAGATACTTGGGAGGCTGGGGCACGAGAATCGCTTGAACCCTGGAGGTGGAGGTTGCAGTAAGCTGATATCATGCCACTGTACTCTAGCCTGGGTGACAGAGCAAGGCTCTGCCTAAAAAAAAAAAAAAATACTTTCAATTATTTTTGTAGAGAATTGTATACTATAGAGAATGGAGATATAATTTTTTAAAAGTAAGTTTTCATGAAAATGTTGTTTTTAGCCCTTTCATGTATAGTTGTTTGTCCTCTTGTAAAATAAAACTTCATTCTAGCTGTAGTGCTGAGTATGAAAGGTGTCAAGAATGTTGCTGTTAATCTGTTTCATACCCACAAGCAGGCAACAATATAAATTTTGTGAGCCCTTGAAACTTTTGCCCTTGTGAGTTCTTTCCTCCATAAAAAGTATTAAAAATTATATTTTATGAGTGTATTGGCATAAAGATAAATATAATCCAGTTGTACTTAGATTATATTCATTTTCTTCTTCTTCTTTTAAAGAAATTAAGCATTAAGCATTTCAGCGGCTCCTAAAAGTATCATGGGCTGTTGGCACTACTGTGCCTTAATAAATATGTCAGCCTAGCCTAATATATGTCCTCCTAATAAAAATTGATGGAGACAGGATAAGATAATTGACTGTCCCAAGTTTAATCAATCAAGAAATAGAATAAATCTCTATAAAATATCACCAGATATTCTTGCCTAAATGTTTGTGTCACCAGACTTATTTATCATCAGTTGTCATTATTTGCTTCCAGAGCTTCTTAATGACATTTTTCACTGCTTTATTTTTGACAGTGTAGATTAAAGGGTTCAACATAGGTGTAAATAGGGTGCAAAACACAGTCACAGCTTTGTCAGTGGGGAAGGAGGTTAGAGGTCTTAGATACAGGTATGAACAAGGGACAAAGAATAAGATGACAGTGAAGATATGAGAGGCACAACTAGACAGAGCTTTGAGATGCCCTTCAGAGCTATGAGACCTTAGGGAGCACAAGATGATGACATAGGAAGCATCCAGTATGGAAAAAATGAGGAAACACAGTGACCCACTGTTGGCAGCAATCAGAGGCCCTAAAGTGTGAGTGTCTGTGCAGGCCAGCTCCAGAAGAGGTACTAAATCACACATAAAGTGGTCGATGACATTGGGGCCACAGAATGGTAACTGGGCTATGAACAAAGTCTGGATTCCTCCATGCACAAATCCCAGAATTCCAGCCACCACCATCAGGAATCCACACATAGATTGGGTCATGATGGTTGCATAGTGCAAGGGCTTACAGATGGCCACATAGCAGTCGTAGGCCATGACACTTAATAAGATGGTCTCAGCTGCCGCAAAGAAATGTTCTGTGAAGAGCTGAGTCATGCAGCCATTGAAGGATATGGTGTTGTTTTCAGAGATCAAGTCAAAGATCATTTTAGGGGCTATGGAAGAAGAGTAGAAAATATCTATAATGGATAAATAGGACAGAAAAAGGTACATGGGGGAACCCAGGGCTGGGCTGATGAAGATGATGACTGAGATGAGCAGGTTACCTGCCAGTGTGATCAAGTAGGTGATTAAAAACATAACAAACAGGAATTTCTGCAGTTCTGGATTGTGAGTGAGGCCCAGCAGGATGAATTCTGTTACATTGTTCATCTTTTTTCATAGATTTAGCTCAGGTTGTGTGTATATGGCCCACCTGAAAAAAAATAGTATTTCTGAATGATGATATTTTAAATTCAATACTAAAATATTTCATCACCTCTTTAGTCCTGGTTTTTGGGGGTGATGGAGCTACATTGCCACTCACCTCTGCTGTTTTGCAGAGTTGTAAAGAAGAACAGAAGATTAGATTTCTCCTAATTCATATATTAATTAAATAGTGATAATATCTTACAAGTACCACAAACAAGATCTTGTTATAAATGTTGACTTCCAAACTTCCTTTCTGGCTCTAAAATTTCACATATGGCTTTCTTTCATTTTGGGGGAGGACAAATCTTATCAATAACAATTGTTTTGAAATTATATTTTCTCTTGTTATGGTTATTTATAGGTATATGAACCCAGTATGTGTATTAGATACTAATATGCATATTTGATACTAAAGTGCAAAGCCTTACTAATTCTAAGCCAGCTGTGTTCTGTGATCTATTGTCCTTTTCTGTCATGTAAATGCACATGTACACAGATTGAGACAGAGCTGCAAATGGAGATATTCTTCTTTCAGAATGCTGGGTAACTATCACAATAACAGCTCATTGAGGATAATTCATTCAACATCCCTGAATGTTGCATCTATCTCTAAATGACCCTTTTTTTCATGCTCACTCTTTCTGCATCTTTAATTGTGGCTATATAAATGGTGCAAAGTTATAATATTTAATGATATTTCATAAATACATTTCCCTCACGGTTGAACTTTTATCACATACAGAATTATACACCAGATTAGATATACTTCCCCACTCACATCTTACAAATGGAATTAAATGAGTCATGATGTTTTCCCTGAGTTTTCTATCGGCAAGACAGAAATGTCTGGGTCACCTGAGATAATGCAATTTTCTCTTTTGGCATAAGTTCAGTCAATTAAGATGAACTTGTAGTTTTCATTGCTAACTGGTAAACAACTGGAAATTTGTATTGCTAATGGAAAACATTCAGTATTATAAGAATGTAGATATTTTTGAATAATCTAGACAAAGAGTTTCAAGAGTAAGTACATATTGTTACAAAAGAGCATAAGATATTTTATTTCTTCTCCTCCCCCTTTTCTCCTTCTTTCCCTAACCCCTGGCAAAAATGTAACCACATAGTTTTCCTCAAAAATTTCTAGAAACAGAAATCAGTCAGCGTCATGACCTCTGAGCTTCATTAAAGGTGAGTAAAAATATCTTTGGTTTTCAGGAAAACTCAGTTGCTAAGTTGCTTTCTCTTTATTCATGGCTTCTGTAGATGGTGATTATATGGTTAATCATCCTTAATGGATTTAATTCACAAATTCTAACTTCAATGTAGCAATATGGGAAGTCACGAAAAGGGGAAAAACATTTCAAGCATGACAAACAGAAATCTACAGAATCAGTGTATTCAGTGAGACATAAATGTTAACCATGATGTTTTAAAAGTGACTTCAGTAAGTTTTTAGCAGCATCTGGTCTGGCAACATTATGCATAGGCTTTTCTATTGATATTTTTATGTCAGTGTGTCCAAATTCATTTTCAGAGAAAAATACTCAACTTTAAGTCAAGTACGGAATGACAAAAACTACTTCACTGAAAACAAATTGGCTAAAACAAGTTAATCTGCTCAAAATTTAGGAGAAAAAGTATAGTTTTCACTGACCCGGATCTAGTTGATTGTGGATTCCTCCAATTTTAGATTGAGTGCAGTCACTGCTTTCTTCTCCTGCAGGCATGGAACATGGCCACAAATAGATTCTATGAGCTGACAAGTGGGATATTGGAATTCCCTAGATGGCTCTCCCAATTCTGACATTTTAGTTTATTTTGCTTTCCATTGTCAGTCTGAATTTACTAAGAAAACAAGATGTTTCAGTTAGGAAACTTCAGTATCTCTAGGATTGAGTGTCTACTCACTTTCTGGGTTTCCTATGAATGTATAAGCCAATCTTCAAAATATATCTATTTTTCAGATCTCTTAGGACTCTATTCAATCCAGATTAAAAACTAGGAATAATGCAAAATTCTTCAAATTTGGAAAATGCAACTATAAAATGAATAAGTAAATCAAATCCACTTGATTGGATATTGTTTTCTCAAATCTATTCTGATGAAATTTTGTTTCCTTGAGTCCCTGAAAAATGTGGTGAAAGAATTCCTTTTATTTATGATTCAAGTTCTCCTTCAACTCTGTTTTCCTAGAAACCCACTAAGCTCAGGAGTGGTGTTTCCCAAACAAATCTTCATCATTTTGCATCCTGTCTCTGCTGCTGTCATTTGCTCACAGGTCCTTCTTTGTAATTCTTTCTTCATTGGCTCTAGAGAAATATTTAAATAGACTATCACAGACTGCAGGATTTGGCAATGCATTGACCTTTCAAGTATCCAGAGGATTAGCAATTGGCCTTGTTGGAATGTTTGGCAAAGCAATAGTCAGGTCCTTCATTCACTCTCACTTGGCACTCACAAACGTCATTAGTGGCTAGTTTTAGAAATGCAGTTGAACTTGGGTTAAAGATATGTCTGTGGCTATTGTTTAGGATAAGATTTGGAAACCTTCACTGTAGGGCTGTTTTGCTAACTGTGGCATTGTTGAGCCTAGGATATGGCATGGTTTTAGGCAAAGGTCAGAGTTCAGAGAATAAATTTTTTTCTGAACCCTTGTCTGGTCTAAATGGTATGGTTGCTCTGAAGAATGGGGAATACCAGTATTCAAGGTCATGCGTCAGATTACTCTGGGAGATTGTGAGATTTTTATTAATGGCTGACTGAGGGGACTTACATGGCAGGATTTCCAACTACCAAAGATTGGGTCATTTAAACTGACAGAGATATCAACTTCCTGTAGGATGATTACCTAGATGACATGTTCTCATGATGAATTCAAGAGTATATATCTTTTCTTTCTACCCCACAAAGAGAGAATGGTGTGACTTGGAGTAGGTGTCACGCTTTCCCACATTGCCATTGAGAATCAATCACATTCAGCCAAGCACTTACGTATGATGACATCCAGAGGTGGAGAATAGAGACATTCTAGAAGAAGGCTCCACTGCTATCTTCTCTCCTTCAGCTTGTGAGGTGATGAGGAACTGACAGCAATTTTGCATGGAATCACCTTTTCTGCTCTCAACTTTTGGTTTCAAAACAAACTGACACACTCCCAAAGTCCAGGACCAGAAAACAAAACCTTCCTCTATTCTCAATGGAATGGGGGCCTTACTCATTGGCCTAGAGCCTGGAACTAGCCTGGTGCTGGGGCAGGAATGGACCCTGGGTCTACAAAGACCAGTCTGGAGTCTGAGATTGCAGGGGCTGGCCTGGTCCCTGGAATCATAGGGTTCTGGAATATGGAGCTGTGGGGATATGCTTAAAACTTGGGTCTTCAGGGGCCAGACTGGAGACTGGGTGTATAAGTGCTAGTCTAGGAATTGAGTTCACGATGGATGGATGGGTCCTGGGGCCTCAGATGCTGGCCTGAAACGTAGGTCCACAGTAGCATTCCTAGAGCCTGGGTCCAGCAGGGTAGGCCTAGTGCTGGGGTTTATTGGGATGGGCCTGGACCCTGGGTATTCAAGAAGCCCTGAGTCCTAGGTCTGCTAAAAAGTAGGAATGCTGGGGTTGGCCTGGTGGGTGGGGCCACAGGGACCAGTCTCATACTGCATAAGCCTGGATCCTGTGTCTGTGAGTGCTAGCCTGGTACCTGAGGCCAGGGGTGCTGACCTGATGCTGGAGTGGGCCTGAAGCCTGGTGCTGTGTAGGCCAACCTTGCTCTGAGCTGGTCTGGAACCTGGTGCAGAGCTGGAAACTGGGGTCACAGGGGCTGGCCTGGTACTAGGCAAGCTGGGAGCCTGGACCTGAGAGTCAGCTTGGAGTCTGGATCTGTGGATATGGACCTTATGACTAGGGCTATGGGGCCTGCCTCACACTGGGGTAGGCTTGAAACCTGGAGCCACTGGAGTTGGCCTGGCAAAGTTGTGGGTCCAGAGACCAAGTCAGCAAGGGACTCCTGGAACCTGGGACCATGGGGTACTGGCCAGTGCTGAATTTTACTGGGGCTATTCTGATATTAGAGCCTGAGGCAAAGTCCAGTGTTCATTTCCCTCTCCTTCCTTCATGCAGAGGCTATTTCTCTCTATGCCATGCTGCCTGGGGTTGTGGGGAACACAGGTGGTGACACAGGTAATGTAAAATCATCCTTCCTACCCTCTTCAATGCATCTTTTCTTATTTCTGTGCTACACCCAGGTGCTATAATATCTCAGCTGGTTTCCTTAGCTCTTGTGAAGGTATTTTTGAATGTAGATAGTTCAAACTGATGCTTCTGTAGAGGGACAAGAGTTGTCTGGTGAGAATCTTCATATCATTATTGATAAAGAAACTTAAGGTTGAGAGATTCTGTTTTGGTTCCTATTTTCCTGACAAGTAGGAGGTGTAATTTTCTGAGATTAAAGGAAAATTTGTGGAATATAGATGTATTAGTTCTCATACTGCTGCTATAAGGAACTACCTGAGACCAGGAAATTTATGAAGAAGAGATTTAATTGACTCATAGTTCTGCAGGCTGTACAGGAAGCATGGCTGGGGGCCCTCAGGAAGCTTACAATCATGGTGGAAAGTGAAGGGGAAGCAAGCACATCTTACTATGGTGGAACAGGAAACACAGTGAAGGGGAAAGTGCTACACATGTTTAAACAACCCAATCTCATGAGGACTTACTATCATGAGAATAGCAAGGTGGAAATCCACCCCCATAATCCAATCACCCCCAACCAGTTCCCTCCCACAACATTGAAAATTACAATTCAACATGAGATTTGTGTGGGGACACAGAGCCAAACCATGTAATTATGCCCCAGCCCCTCCCAAATTTAACAACCTTATCACATTTCAAAACACAATCATGCCTTCCAACAGTCCCCCCAAATCCTAACTAATTCTAGCATTAACTCAAAAGTCCAAGTCCAAAGTCTAATCTGAGACAAGGCAAGTCCTTTCCTCCTGTGTGCCTATAAAGCCAAAAACAAGTTAGTTACCTCCAAGATACAATGGGGGTATAAGCATTGGGCAAGCAAATGTCCCCATTCCAAAAGGGAGAAATTGGCCAAGACAAAGGGGCTACAAGCCCCATGCAAGTCCGAAACCCACCTGGGTAGTCATTAAATCCTAAAGCTCCAAAGTAATCTCCTTTGACTACATGTCTCACATCCAGGCCACACTGATGAAAAAGAAGTTGGGCTCTCAAGGCCTTGGGCAGCTCCATCCCTGTGGCTCTGCAGGGTACAGTCCCTGTGGCTGCTTTCATAGGCTAACATTGAGTGCCTGCAGCTTTTCCAGGTACATGGGGCAAGCAGTGGGTAGATCTATCATTCTGGGGTCCGGAGGATGGTGGCCCTTTTCTCACAGTTCCAGTAGGCAGTGCTTCAGTGAGGATTCTGTGTGGGGGCTCTCACTCCACATTTCCCCTTTGCACTGCCCTAGTAGAGGTTCCCCAATGAGAACTGCAGCAGATGTCTGCCTGGACATCAAGACATTTCCATACATCCTTTGAAATCTAGACAGAGTCTCCCAAACCTCAACTTTTACCTTCTGTACACCTGTAGGCCCAACACCATGTGGAAGCTTGGGCCTTGCACCCTCTGAATCAATGGCCTCATCTGTACTTTGGCCCCTTTTAGCCATGACTAGAGCTGGAGAGGCTGGGAGGCAGGGTGCCATGTTCTGAGGCTGCACACAGCAGGAAGGCTTTGGGCCTGGCCCATGAAACAATTTTTTTCCTCTTAGGCCTCCAGGCCTGTGATGAGAGGTGCTGCCGCAAAGGTCTCTGAAGTGCCATGGAGTCATTTTCTCCATTATCTTGGCTATTAACATTTGGCTTTTCTTTACTTATGCAAATTTCTGCAGCCTTGAATTCCTCCCCAGAAAATGTTTTTTTTTCTTTTCTACCACATAGTTGGGCTGCAAATTTCCCAAGCTTTTATGCTCTGCTTCCCTTTTTAATATAAGTTTTATTTTCCAGTCATTTATTTGTTTATGCAAATGAGCATAGGCTTTTAGAAGCAGCCAGGCTACATGTTAAATGCTTTGGTGCTTAGAATTTTTCTGCCAGGTACCCTAAACCATCTCAAGTTCAAAGTTCCACAGATCTCTAGAATGGGGGCACAATGCTACCACTTTCTTTGCTAAAGCATAGGAAGAGTGACCTTTACTTTAGTTCCCAATAAGTTCCTTATCTCCATCTGATACTTCATTAGCTTGGCCATCTCTTTCCATATCACTATCAGCATTTTGGTCCAAACCATTCACAAACCTCTAGGAAGTTCCAAATTTTCCCACATCTTCCTGTCTTCTTCTGAGCCCTGTATCTGTTAGAATCTTTGACTATTACCTAGTTCCAAAGTTGCTTCCACTTTTTCAGGTATCTTTGTAGCAATGCCCCACTTCTCTGGTAGTACCAATTTTCTATATTAGTCCATTCTCACATTGCTATAAAGAACTACCTGAGACTGGGTAATTTATGAAGAAAAGAGGTTTAATTGACCCACAGTTCTGTAGGCTGTACCAGAAGCATGGGTGGAAGGCCTCAGGAAACTTACAATAGTGGCAGAAGGTGAAGGGGAAGCAAGCAAGGGAGCGAGAGAGAGAGAGCAAAGGGGGACGTTCTAGGTATGTTTAAACAACCATATCTCATGAAAACTCACTCACTATCACAAAATACAGCAAGGGGGAAATCTGTCCCCATGATCTGATCACCTCCCACTAGGTACCTCCCACAACACTGGGAATTACAATTTGGCATGAGATTTGTGTGGGGACACAGAACCAAACCATATCAATAAGTTAATGAAATTGGAAGAATATATAGGAAACAAACAGAAAAACATGCCATGCTCATGGATTAGAAGAATCAATGTGAAAATGACCATATTACTCAAAGCAATCTATAGATTCAGTACAATTCCTATCAAAATACCAACCTCATTTTTCACACTATTAGAAAAACAAACCTAAAATTCATATGGAAACAAAAAAGAGCTCAAATAGCTAAAGCAATCCTAAGCAAAAAGAACAAAGCTGGAGGCACCACATTACCTGACTTTAAATTATCCTACAAGGATATAATAACCAAAATAGCATGGTACTGATATAAAAGTATACATATAGACAAATAGAAGATAATAGAGAACCTAGAAATAATGACAAATATCTACAACCAACTGATCTTTGACAAAACAGACAAAAATAAAACAAAAACAAACAAAAAACATGCACTGGGGAAAGGATGACCTATTCAATCATGGTGCTGGGAAAATGGGACAGCCACATTCAGAAGAAGGAAACCAGATTTCTATCTCTCATCACATACAAAAATTAACTCAAGGTGGATTAAAAAATTCAATGTAAGACCTGAAACCATAAAAATTCTAGAAGAACCTAGGAAAAACTTTTTTGAACATTGACCTAGGCAAAGAATTTATGTCTAAGACTCCAAAAGCAAATGCAACAAAAATAAAAATAAATAGGACTTAATTAAACTGAAATGATTCTGCATAGCAAAAGAAATAATCAACAGAGCAAATAGACAACCTACAGAATAAAAAAAATTATAAACTCGACATTTGACAAAGGACTAATATCCAGAATCTACAAGGAACTCAAACAAATTAGCAAGGAAAAACCAAATAATCCCACTAAAATGTGAGCAAATGATATGAATAGACATTTCTCAAAAGAGGATATACAAATGGCCAACAAACATAAAAAATACTCAACATCACTAATCATCATGGAAATGCAAACTAAAACCACAACAATAGATGTTGGTGTGGATGAGGTGAAAAGGGAATGCTTAAACATTATTGGTGGGAATATAAATTGGTAAAGCCTCTATGGAAAACATACGAAGATTTCTCAAAGAACTAAAAGTAGGTCTACCATTTAATCCAGCAATCCCACTACTGGGCATCTAACCAAAGGAAAATAAGTCATTATATTAAAAAGAAACTTGCATGTGTATGTTTATCACAGCACAATTCACAACTGCAAACACATGGAATCAACCTAACTGAACATCAACCAATAAAGAAAATGTGGCGTGTATATATCATGGAATATTACTCAGCCATAAAAAAGAACTAAATAATATCTCTTGCAGGAACTTAGATGGAACTGGAGGCTGTTATCCTAAGTGAAGTAACTCAGGAAGAAAAAACCAAATACTGCATGTTTTCACTTATAAGTAGGAGCTAAGCTATGGATACACAAAAGTATGCAGACTGGTACACTAGACACTGGAGACTCAGAAGCGGGAAGGGTGAGAGGTAGATGAGGGATAAAAAAGTCAGCTATCAGGTACACCGTACACTATTCAGTGATAGGTACCCTAAAAGCCCAGACTTCACCATTATACATGGATAAATTTATGTAAACAAAACCACTTATAAAGCTATTGAAATTAAGAAAAGAGATGTTCAAAAATGTAAAATAACGCCACTCTTCTAATTTTTTTGTGAGAAAATATATTTGTGGAAAACATATCTATCAAAGAAATAATATCAGAAAAACTTCCAAACTGAAGGACACGTGTTTCCAGATTAAAATGAACTTCTGAATGCTTAACACAGTAAATACAAAGCAGGAAGAGGAAGAGATAAAAGAAAAAAAGAAGACATATAAGGCCATGTTATGAAACTTCATCACACTGTAGATCCCATGAGAAGCACAAGGTCAGAGATAACCAACACCATGCACAGTTGTGTCTTTCCATGATGTCTGACTTTTATTGATGCCATCTCAATCATAAAAGCCTCAAGCTACATGGATTTCCCAAGGAGGCAATTCTCCTTAGTACTTCCCATTCACTTGGTAGTCAGAGCCGCAGGCACAGAGCCTGACAAGCCATTCCCTAAGTCAGTCAATACTGCAAATCCTACATAATAGTACACTTAATCAGTATATAAATGTTATAGATTAAACATTCTATAGCAAACAAAGTAATATTTAACATCAAGAAAAAGGGGATAGGAAAAGAGGTTAACAAACCAGTCCAGGGAGAGCAATGTAGACAAAAAGAATTTCCTTGTCTGGGCCAGGTGGTCCATTGGTCTTGCAAGAAAGCGTCTTTGATGTCGACAGAGCCTTCGGTGGCAGATTCCAGGTGCTTATCTCAAGTGACAACAAGACAGTGTCTGTTAAGACAGCTGATTCGAGTTGCTGAAGTCCTGTTCTTTTTATGGCCACAGAGTCCTCTGGTGAGGACTGATAGTGGAGGCATGTGCTTGGTTATGTCCTTACCTGATTGGATGTAGTGATGTATGTATGTATGTATGTATGTATGTATGTATTTATTTATTTATTTATTTATTTTTGAGACAGTCTCACTATATTGCCCAGGCTGGAGTGCAGTGGTGAGATCTCTGCTCATTGCAGCCTCCGCTTCCCGGGTTCAAGTGAGTCTTGTGCCTCAGCCTGCTGAGTAAGTAGCTGGAATTACAGGTGCCAGCCACCAAGACTGGCTAATTTTTATACTTTTAGTAGAGGTAGGGGTTTACTATGTTGACCAGGCTGGTCTTGAACTCCTGACCTCAGGTTATCTGCCCGCCTCAGCCTCCCAAAATGCTGGGATTATAGGCATAAGCCACCACACCTGGCCTGGATGCAGTTTTTACTGATCAGGCAAAACATCTGGTCTCAGCTGACAAAGTGCCTTATGAAATGTAAGGTAGATCTTTTTCTAAGATGGAGTTACTTATGTCAAGGGTGCACTATACGACGGATAAGTAGATCTTGAAAGATTTCAGAGGAGAATATGAGACCATATATAAAGGAACAGAAATCAAAATGACATTACCCTTGCCAACAATACTTGAAGCTATAAGACAATGCAGCAATGCTTTCATTCTTAGAAAAAATAGTTATCAATCTAAAATAATATCCCCAGCAAAACGATCAATTTTGAGTGCTGAAGAAAGGCATTTTTAGGCATCGTATGGGAGAGTGTTATAATAATGATCCCAAAGAACCATACATCTCTGTACCCACACCACTTTGCAATGGGACTTTGCTGTTTCTCCCAGTGAGAGAGGGGGGGTCTATTTCTTCACCCTTTTGACCTGGGTTGGCCTTATGAGTTATTTTGACCAATAAGACAAGAAAGAAGGGACATTGTGTGAGTTCCACAGCTGAGGCTTTAAGAAGTCTTGAAACTTCTCTCACCTTCTTGGAACCCTGAGACCACCATGCTCTGAGAAGCCAGTGGAGGATGAGACATGTCTAAAACTCATACATCAAAATGCAGCAATATAAAGTGAAGTTCTTAAAGCAGCTGAATACTAATCTCTATTTGACTGTCTTTTTCTTTAGAATTATTTATATATTTAGGGTATGAGATTTGTGTTATATTTTGCAAATATTTTCATTATAGCTCCTCTTTTAACTTGGTGGCATTTTAAAAATAATACACAAGTTTTTTTATTTTTTGGAGGTCTCTTTATGCTTTTGAGGTTTTGTTTCTTGATTAAGAAGGACTTCTCTCTATGCAACGATTTAATCTTATTTCTTTAAAAAAAGCAAAACAAAGGGAAAAAAAGCTAACAGTATAAGCAACTGGTTGGTGCAATATGATGGTAGCTATCAAAGAGAGAGCTAGGAGTCTAAAGTAGTTGTCTGTAACGAGTGGTCTGGAGAGGAGGGCCAGGCAGGGACTTGCTGCTTTTCTATTATACCTCTCTTTCCCTAGCATTCCAACCTGAAAACTGAACTAATAAAGAGTGTCCTGAATCCAACCACTTACTATCCTCACTCCCACCGGTCTGCTCAAGTCCATCATTTCTTCCCTAAATGACCACAAAAGCTGGCCCACTGGTGTCCTGCATCTGTCTTCCACCTTTGCCCATTTCAGATATCTATTGCTGTGAAATAAACCACTTACAAACAAAAACAAACAAACAAGAATGGGTAGAAAGAAGGACCTGTCTATGTTAGCCAGAAATTTTGCTCAGGAAGTTTTGAAGACCTAGTTCATATTGGAGTTCACAAATTTTTGGCACCCCCCTTAATGTATAATTGTATAATTTTCTTCAGTATTGCCTTACATTGTACGTAAAGGGAAAAAGAAGATGGTTTATAAATTTATGGTTTAAATATGTCAGTTACCATAGTGAGCTACACCAAAGCTGAAAAAGGCTCTATTTGAACTTGATTTTGCAAGGATTGGTATTTACCCATCCTATGCTATTTGACAATCAAGATAATTGCAAAAGTTATGTTAACTGTTCTAAGTCCTTTAAAAGATAAGGTTAATTGTATCATTAGTCAGCATAAGCTGCATTTTTCTGTGGTAACATATGAATTCTGAACTATCAGTGGTTTAACACATACAATTTTATTTCCTGTTCAAGCCAAATCTGCTGAGCTGTGGTTTAGGCGATGCTCTAGGGAACTGTTCTCCATGTAGTTACTCAGAAATCCAGGCTGTTGCTTCTGTATAGCTGTTTCGTATCAGTTTGTGTCTCCCAGGTTTGCTGCAGCAGGGAAAATAAAGCTGGGGAGTAGCTTGCTGGCTCTTAAATGGTTATGCCTCAATGTGACATATATCACTTCTGCAAACATGGCTTTCCTTAAAAAGGAGTGGGCTGGAAAACATAGTGGTAGCACATAGATATTTCATGACCAGAAAATGGGTTAGCCACAATTGAGAAAAACTCATCTCCTTGGAATAAATTGTTTACTAAACTGATGAATATTAATTTGTACGTAATATATACTTAACATAAGAGTTAAGTATGCTTATGGAGTCCAGTGGATTAATTCAGTTCTTACGAAGGTAGAAGTGAAGTTGCTGAGATTTATAGGACTTCTGGCCTGGCTCTGGTCTAGATCTTTTTAAAAATCTGGATTATTTTTCTTAGGATTGCACTGTATCCACATCTGAAATTACTTCCAATCTCAATGGTCTGCAGTTGGGCTGCAGTTCTTTATTCAAATTTGAATGTGCAGAATTTCTGCCTTAATTACTCACATATCACCAGTTCTCTTTTTTTCATTTTTTGAGATGGAGTCTCACTGTGTTGCCCAGCCTGGAGTGCAGTGGCGCAATCTTGGTTCACTGCATCCTCTGCTCCCTGGGTTCAAGTGGTTCTTGTGCCTCAGCCTCCTGAGTAGCTGGGATTACAGGCATGGCCACCAAGCCCAGCTAATTTTTCTATTTTTAGTAGAGATGGGGTATTACCATGTTGGCCAGGCTGGCCTCAAACTCCTGGCCTCAAGTGATCTGCCTGTCTCTGCCTCCCAAAGTGTTGGGATTACAGGCATGAGCCACCACACCCAGCCACCAATTCTCTTTTGGGTCAGCTACTTTGTTTCTATTAGCTAAGGCACAAATCCATCCAATAAAAGCCATTTTTGAGGTGAAGTGGTGTATAGGATATTTTCGACAGAAAAAAAGTGCTTCACAAAACATCTTCTACCTGAGAAATAATGTCCAAGATTGTTCTATGATTGTACCTGGATGAATTTTCTACCCCTCTTTGACTTTAGAGAAAATAATTTATTCTGGAGAGAGCCAGATTATAATGTAAGTGATCACCCCTGGAGTTGTGAACACAACAGCATTCATTTTGGATGAGTGCTGCCTTAACTCTCATTCCTCAAAACCCAATCATTTCTCACCTATCTCTCTCTTTCACAATAATAGTTCTACTTCAATTTTATTAGTTGGGATTAAAACTATGCATTTTCAACAAAAGATTTAGCCATTAGGGCTTTTTGTTTATTCTAATTATTTGGCCTGTTAGTTATATACTCTATACCGAAGCTTTGCAGATAATTGTTCTACTAAACACATAAACTCATGGGTTTTCCATACACTGTAACATGTTTATGTTGACTAGCAATGTCCCGCAATTAATAATTTGTAAATGTGAAGAAGTTTCTAACTGGCAGAAACATTAGTCATCATTTAATCAGATACTGATCTTTTATGAAAAAGGATCATTAAAGATTCCAGAAAATAAGGGGAATAAAATATACTTAAACTCACATATTCTGACCTCAAGACCTTTACCCTTTTCATTAGTCATACCTGTTGTTAAAATATGAGTAGGTTCTGTGTTTATCTTCTCTAATCACACAAATTGTTACCCCAGATTATTTGGCTCCAGAGCTGCTTCATGGCATTTTTCCCCTCTGTGCTTCTGAGAGTATAGATTAAAGGGTTTAACATGGGTGTTACCACAGTGTAAAACACAAACACAGCTTTATCAATAGGGAAGGTGATCATGGGTCAAAGGCACATGAATATACAGGGAACAAAGAATAGGATGACTACAGTGATATGGGAGGTGCAAGTAGAGAGAGCCTTCCACTGTCCTTCTGTGCTGTGAGTCTTTAGTAAGCAGAGGATTAGGACATAAGAGGTAATAAGAATAGAAAAAATGAGCATAAACATCAGCCCACTGTTGGCGGCAACAAAGAGTCCGAAGACGTGAGTGTCAGTGCAGGAGAGTTTTAGCAGAGGGAAAAGGTCACAGATTAAATGGTCAATGACATTGGGGCCACAGAAGGGCAGCCAGACTATTAAAAGCATTTGAATCAGAGCATGAAGAAATCCCCCGGCCCATGCCATGGCCACCAGTAGGCCACACACCTTCCTGTTCATTGTGATCAGGTAGTACAGGGGCTTGCAGATTGTCTCATAGCGGTCATAGGCCATTACCACGAGCAGAATGATCTCAACTCTCCCAAAGAAATGTTCTGCAAAGAGCTGGGTCATGCACGCACTGAAGGAGATAGTTTCCTTTCAGTGAGTAAGTTAAATATCATTTTGGGGGCCATGGTAGAAGAGCAGCAGCCATCTATGAAGGACAAGAAAGACAGAAAAAAATACATGGGGGAGTGCAGGGCTGGGCTGGTGGTGATTGTCACCACAATGAGTAGGTTGCCTACCATGGTGAGAAATTAGATGAGTGTAAACACAGCAAACAAGAGTTTCTGTGCCCCTGTGTTCTATGTCAGGCCAAGCAAGAAAATTCCGTTACGTTGTTCACTTGCTCCATAAATCCAGTTTGGCATTTGGATAATTGATTTATCTGCGAATAGCACAAGGATTGCAATTTGACACATACATTTTGAACAATAAAATAATTTTGGTCAGGACTGTTTTCTGTAACACTGATAGAATCCCTAAATCTATAAACCCAAGACTTTAAGTTGAGCCATATTATTCGTGACATAATGAACACACATTCCTCTTCTCTCTCATACACAGAGACACACACAGACACACACACACACAGACACACATTCATTCATACACACAAACATGATTTTATGATGTTGACATGTCAGGCATTTTTTCCTATAATTGTACATGGATGGATATTCTCCCAATCACCGTTATAGTATTTTTTTCCCATAGAAAAACAACCGTAAAAAGAGGAGGAGCAGAGGCTTTAATTCGTGATTTAATTTCCCAGTTTCTTTTTTCTAACTACTCATATTCATGAGGCTACAGTGCAGTTTGTTATTCTGGTTATTTTTAACTTGTTTCGGGGTAACTATAAAACATCAGGTGAGTTCAATTTGAAATTAAGGATGATGCCACCACATTTCAGAATTAGCTGAACTGAGTGAATATCTGAGGCTGGAGTAAGATAAGCCCTGGTAGTTAGATTTGTGAATTTATGCCACATCCAAACAGAATGGCCCAAGAATGTCATCAAACACTTCTGGAAACATATCCTGGAAGAGAATAAAACAGCATGATGCAAGGCAACATTCCCCAGATGTATTTGAAACTTTAGAATTCACCTGGAGAACTGTCATGTTTAGAATTCAGGGCATTTTGCAAATCAAAACCCAATTTAAGGATGACTGTGAAAAATTATATGGATCTGTTTAGAAAACATAATTTTAAGGTGAGGGAACAAAAGCACCATAATTTATTGGACAGAGTGTGTTTTTTAGAATCTGATGCCTTATTTTTACATTTTATTTTCACTGACTGTTAGCCACATGATATTGTGTACAGATCTTAGTCTCACTGTGCCTAAACTTTTTTTATATATAAAATGGGAAAAATAACAAATGGAATGGAGGAATTAAAGAATATCATGATTAAATATATCAAGCTTTGTATCCTAAAGGTAAACCTATAACTTACCCTGTACTCCAAATCTTGATAAAAGAACACAAGTAAACAAAATTTTGCATATCATTATTTTTAATCTTTAAATTATTTATCGTTGTAGTATTAGGAGAGAAAATAAATGAACTCAGTACTCAACTCAAGGTAAATAACAAGCAATTATATTCAGAAAAATGATGTAATACAGAAACACATCAGGCAATAAAAAATTAGACTTGATAACTAAATTCAAAAGCTTTTTGATATTTTAAAAATACTAACAAAACTGAAGAATAGAAATGAGCTCAATAAGAAACAAATATGGTAATACCACCAAAGGATATTATTTGTGAATAATATTTAGAAAGGTATTATGTGTAGCTCATAAAAGATTTAAAAATAACTAGATAGGTATTTTTCAAAACAAAATAAGTCTCTTCTTAATGGAATCATCAAAAAAAGAACCAAAGAAAAAGAGAAAAAAGAATAACATGTATTAAAGACTTCAGATAAAACATAGATCTTTTCAAAACCAAAAAAAAAATAAAATCAATATATATTTCATAAGAAAGGATATTTTAAAATGAAAATATAATGGTATAAGATACAAAACAAAACTGATGAGCTCAGCTACATAAAGTTATGGAACACCTTAGAAAAATGATTGCAACAAGTATGACAACTGTTATTATAGAAGCAGTTATTAACAAATTAAAATGTTTACTCACACCATTAATGTGTGAATTAAGGTGTAAATAAGGGGAAAACTAATAGATAATTCTCAGAAAAAAATTAGACATCTAAAAAGTCCTCTATTTCAAAAGTTACCAAAGAAATGCAATTTTAAAACAGTGAAATACTGACAAATTGGCAAAGATTTATGATAGTTGTGTTATTCAGTGGTGGTGAATGTGTGTTGACATAAAACATTCTAGAAGGAAGTTTGACCCCTTATTATAATAAGGGTTTTATAACTAGTTATGACCCTTGGCACTGTATTCCTTATGTTTAGAAATCTACTCTAGATAAAAAATATAGACAAAATTATGTGTACAACTTGTGTTTCACAATATTTTTATACTAATAAAAAGGTAAAAAAAACCCCGAATATACATAAAGAGAAACAGTTAAATGAATTATAGTTATTATATGTCAAGTGGACATTAAAGTTATTTGCAAAAGAATTAATGGGGTGGAAAGAGTATTTCAATATAACATTGAGTGGGAAATACAAAATATAAAACAGTTTATATATTATGACCCAAATTGTTTAAAATGCCATATATCCACTAAAAATATATCTGAAAAAAGTACATCAAGGATAATAATGCTTATATGAATTATGGGATTAAGGGAAATTTTAATGTTCTTTTAAAGAGTTTCTGATCTTAGTTTTCTACAGAGAGAATTTATTACCTTTGTAGTCAGTAAAATAATTTAATAAAAGTTTTATTATCAAGTCAGGATCTATAATATCCTGGGTAAATGTTTTTGTTAGTGGACTATTTTGGTCATTATTCATAAAAATCTGTAACAGTAGAAATACATGTTTAAATATAACTCACCTGTAAATTGAAGACCCTAGTATTATCTTGAGAAAAAATGACTAATAAGGTAAAGAAGTAATGGGGTCATTCAATAGCAAGACATCTTATTTGTAGAGAGCAGTTTGCATGGAGTTAGCATTCACTGGCTCATCACTAACTGCTGCTTTGCAGATTTCATCCATTTTTAACTTAAGTATTATATATGTTTTCCTCAATTGGTGACTTAAAATGACTGGTAAGAGAAACTTCCTAAATACAGCTGAGTTCATGGGCTGGATTTATTTTGCTCTGTTGGGTCACATCATCCTGTGAGTGTGAGACACAAGCATCTGAGCTCAGAAATGAATGTGAATTTCTCTTGTCAGCTTCCAAAGGCTGACTTCGGTTTCCATTAGTCTTCAACAGATATTGATGGGAAAAATACCTAGCCATTGAAGGACATCTTTCCCCAAGTCTCCTTAGAACACATTTGCCAGGCTTTCTTGGTGACCAGGTGAAGTGTATTATAAAAATCACTTGATCTGAGGTCTAACCCAATTTATAGCCCTGAATATTGAAAACTAAGTTAAAACAGAAAAATCTGGGATTGCAAGCACAATGAAATCAGCAACAAATCGAAGTTGTTTTGAAGTAGCAGGTCTCTATTTTAAGTCACTTATTTTAAGTCTTTTTTTTTTTTTTTTTTTTTTTTTTTTTGGTAAGCGTGTGCACAGGCTGGAGACAGCTCCTTTGGTCCTGGGAAGTCTGGATCCAAATTTGGAAATTCAGAAGGAAACAGCATCTGTGATTTGTGGCTGGTTGTGGTCTTCCTGGGTCAGAAATCCTGAGTCTGTCCTTATCAACATTTTCAGATGTGGATTCAGGAAAATATTTAATGGATATTATTCAAGTGCGAGGAGTTAGGAATGCTCTGAGATTAGAATTAGCATCAGCCAAGGTGGTAGCCAAAACAATTTATCCTGTTCTCTCTTGTGACCATGACATCTGTGACCAAAGGGTTGGGGGAAAGCCAGCTAGGCTAGGTTAACAGCCTTTCTTATGACTGTGGTTAGAAAGTGATCTTAAATCCTGAGACCCAAGACCCAGAATGTTCTAGTCATTGTGGGTATGGATCCATCGGCCAATCAGAGCCTATAAAACAACTCTAATAATACCTGCCCCATAGAGTTATAGGGAGAATTGAGCAAGATAACATGTGAAGACATCTACATCAGTGAAAAACTGCTATTTTATTAATACTCCAAAGATAGACATGTAGGCTAGAGAAACTGCTCTTTAGTATTATAAATCTGAATCATGCTTAAGAGTAAAAGTTCTACTGACTTTTTTTTTTTTTTTTTGGAGATGCAGTTTTGCTCTTTTGCCCAGGCTGGTGTGAAGTGGTGCAGTCTTGGTTTACTGCAACTTCCTCCTCTGGGTTTAAGCGATTCTCCTGCCTCAGCCTCCTGAATAGCTGGGATTATAGGCACCTGCCACCACACCTGGCTAATTTTTGTATTTTTAGTAGAGATGGGGTTTCGCCATGTTGGCCAAGTTGGTCTCGAACTCCTGACCTCAGGTGATCCACCTGCCTTGACCTCCCAAAGTGCTAGGATTACAGGCCTGAGCCACTGTGCCCAACCTCTACTGATTCTTCTTACTAATTAGGTGACCTTGTTTCCTCAGTCTTGAGTTTCTACACCTGTAAAAAGGGGGGTGATAATAGTTCTTGCCTTCTAGGACTGTTGCGGTGGTTACATGAGATAATGCATGTAAAGTACTTAGAATGGTGGCTGGGGAAGCATAAAGGCTTACTGTTATCTGTTATCATTTTCTGTAAAGGAAATCAGAACTCATGGTGTGATTGATTCAGGCTTCTGGCAAGAATTGTCTCAACTCATATATATATAGTTTGTCTTCCTTACTCTTATGGTTGGTAGGATGTAGGGAGTTCTAGAAATTAGGAGATAAGAAAAGCCAGATTTTGAAGTATTAAATACTGATTCATAAGTCATAATTATGAAATATTCCTATGAGTGATCTTCTCTCCACTAAAACATCTGACAATGAAGTGATGATTCCCTGAAGTGGTTACAGGAGATAAAGGAAATGAGGATACACTGAAAATTAACAAATTATCAGCACTATCACTCTGCTAAGTGTGGAATCTCATCTAATTCACACCTAGTCCCTGTGAGGAAGGTATTTATTCCATTTTATATGTAAGGAAATTGATGCTCACTCTACGTATCATTTGGTCAAGGTCAAAGAGCAAATAACTGGCAGTTCAAATTTAAATCCAGATTGATTTAATTCTAAGCCTGAGCTCTAACTATTATGCCATTATATGTGATTATATACTGATTCCATGCTGTGTCTCATCCATTGGGTGTGATGGGAGAGGAGGTGCTGACACATACCAGCTTTGCGTTGCTTAGCAAACTTTGATTCCACCACCAATGGCAAGCAGAGAAAATTCCTCCATCAGATAACATGGGCATCAGTAGTTTATAAAAGAGGCATAGAGAAAAGAGAATGCCTCTCATCTTCCTTTCCTACCTTCGGCCCTCATCCAGGGGAATTGCTTCAGCGCTGTCTTGGAATAGTTGATTCTGGAAATTTCCTGATGCCTGTGGAGTGGAAGGGAAGACTGAACAGAATTCAGACTTAGGACCAGGGACATCCTCTACATGAATGGGATCTGGTAGGGTCTTGAGAAATAATATACAATAGACATAACCTGGGTATGATTTCAAATACTTCTATTTACCACATGGCTCTATGCTTACCACTTAAGATCCCTTAACGTACTTGAGCCTGTAAAACAGCCTTAAATAAAGGTTATTGGGGAGAATACCAAAAGACAGCATGTGAAATCCATCTAGTGCATTATGAATGGAAAATATTTAGAAAGTATTTTCTGAACTAAATTGAGAGAGAGATGTTTGCATTTTCCATGCTGCTATAATGTTGGCTATCTTTATAAACTACTGGCCAAGCTGTGTGATTTTGGGCAAGTTACTCAACTTCTCTGTACCTCAGTTTCCTCTTGCGCAAAACAGAATAATATTACTACGTGGAGTTGCATGAGAACCAAAGTAGTCACTAAAGAGGGAAGAAAGGTTGAGGATGTTTTTTTTTTTTTTTAAGAGGGGGGAAAATTGATGTTTAAATGCTAGTGGGAAGAAGCTAGGGAGAGACAGAGGGAGAGAGAAAGAAAAAAATAGTTAAAGATACAAGAGGGCAGGAAGTATTCAATAAAGGCCTGTTGGATGGGTAGGCAGTTATTTACACACAGAAAAGTGATTTTCTATCTTCTTCCTCTTTAATAAAAATCTGTTTTGTTCTGGTGTTAGGTGGTCATATGTTTGGGGCCAAATGGAGTCCATCCAGGCCACAAGTGTGAATCAGGATTAGTTGAAACCAATTATAATAATGCAAATAGTCACTATATTATTTGCAATCATGCACGTTAGTCACTTCAGGGGGAAGTGGGGTTGAGGATAGTTTTTTTTTTTTTAAGAGGGGGTAAAATTGATGTTTAAATGTTAGTGGGAAGAAGCTAGGGAGAGACAGAGAGAGAAAGAAAGAGAAGTTAAAGATACAAGAGGGTAAGAAGTAATCAATAAAGGCCTGTTGGATGGGTAGGCAGTTATTTACCCACAGAGAAGCTATTTTCTATCTTATTCAGCTTTAATAGAAATCCATTTTGTTCTGGTGTGAGGTGGTCATGTGTTTGGGACAAAGTGGAGTCCATCCAGGCCATAGGTGTGAATCAGGATTAGTTGAAACCATTTATAATAATGCTCTTCACTTACCAGTGATTTACATAGGCATGTGACACAATTCCAGCCCATGAGACAAGAAAGAAAAACTGCTGGAGAGCTTCTGTGTGATGCTTCTCTGATCCTAAAAGGGGAGTCATGAGGAAAAATGTCTCTTCTGAACAATGCCTTCTGCAAAAGATATGGAATTACTAATTAGTGGTAACCACTGGCATTTTGGACTGGGGAGTTTCCCAAAACAGCTAAAAAGTACACACTTATTTGAAAAGTGATTGCTCATTTATTATTGGACTTCAGTTGAAACTGCTTTTATTACTGAAGGAGATACTGTTATTATTTTTTTACCACTTTTTTTCTTCCGACTTTTAGGTTCAAGAAGTACATGTGCAGATTTGTTACATGGGTAAATGGTATGTTGTGGGGGTTTTGTGCACAGATAATTTTGTCACCCAGGTAATTAGCAAAATACCTGATAGGTAGCTTTCAATTCTCACCCTTCTCCCAACCTGTACTCTCAATTAGGTGCCAATGTCTATTGTTCCCCCTGCCACTGCTTTTTTTTTTTTTTTTTGAGGTGGAGTCTCATTCTGTCTCCCAGGCTGGAGTGCAGTGGTTCGACCTTGGCTCACTGCCACCTCTGCCTCCTGGGTTCGAGTGATTCTCCTGCCTCAGCCTCCCGAGTAGCTGCAATTACAGGTGCCTGCCACAACGCCCAGCTAATTTTTGTATTTTTAGTAGAGATGGTTCACCATGTTGGCCAGGCTGGTCTCGAACTCCTGACCTCAAGTGATTCACCCACCTCGGCCTCCCAGAATGCTGGGATTACAGGCGTGAGCCACTGTGCCTGGTTATTGTTCCCTTCTTTGTGTCCATGTGTACACAATGTTTAACTTCCATTTATAAGTGAGAACATACGGTATTTGGTTTTCTGTTCCTGCATTAATTTGCTTAAGGTAATGGCATCAAGCTCCATCCACGTTGCTGCAAAATACATGATTTCATTCTTATATTTTTTTGAGGGCTTCATTCTTTTTTATGGCTGTGTAGGACATGCGTTATTTTGAGATGGGAAATACCCAATGTCTTGAGCTATATCAGATAGTCATCCCAGCAGGTAGGAAAATGAACAGGATAATTCCCTTATAAAAGAGAAATGCAAATTCGAAAATACATGAAGGTGGGAGAACACACTGCATCCATAAACACATGGCTGCTTGGCCTCTGAGCTCCCTGTTTGATCACCCTGAAGAGTTAGCTAACCTCTGTTAGCCAGGCTGGAGTGCAGTGGTGCGATGACAGCTCACTGTAACCTTGACTCCTGGGCTCAAGTGATCCTCCTACCTCAGCCTCCCAAATAGCTGGAGCAGGGATTACAGGCACACACCACTGCACCCAGCTAATTTTTAAAAAATTCATTTTTTGTAGACACAGAGGTCTCACTGTTACCCAGGCTGGTCTCAAACTCCTGGGCTTAAAGGATCCTCCAGCCTTAGCCTCCCAAAGTGCTGGCATTACAGGTGAAAGCCATCATGCCTGGTCCACTATCACCATTTCTATTAAACATAGTATTATAGGTCTTATCCAGTACAATAAGACAGGAAAATAAAAAGAAATATTAAAATTGGAAAAGAAGAAATCAAACTGTCATTATTCACAGATGACATGATTTATATATAATGTCAAGGGCTAAACTGAGTTGGAGAGATGGAGTTGACCTCTCAGGTTTAGAGTAGTCCATTAAAGCAAAAAGCCAAAAATAAAAGAAACAGTAAAGCTTTTAATCATTTACTTAAATACTTATAAGCAAGAGTTCAAAACCATAGAAACCACCAACTCCCTTTTGTTCTATTTTTTTCCCTGTGGACCAGTGCACCAGCTAAGGGTCAGATGGATCACTACAAACACAGGCATAATATCACTGCTGAGGGAGCCCCAAACAAAACATTGCCTGCATCCCTCATATGAAACCCACTTGATCATGGTGGATTATCTTTTTGATATGCTGTTGGATTTGACTAACTAGTATTTTGTTGAGGATTTTTGCATCAGGGATATTTGTTTGTTGTGTTGTTGTTGTTGTTGTTGTTGTTATGTCCTCTCCCAGTTTTGGTGTTAGGGTGATACTGGCTTCATAGAATTATTTAGGGATGTTTCCCTCTTTCTCTATCATGTGGAATAGTTTCAGTAAGATTGGTACCAATTCTTCTTTGAGTGTCTGATAGAATTCACCTGTGAATCTGGCTGGTCCCAGACTTTCTTTGTTGGCATTTTTTAAATTATTATTTCAATCTCACTACTTGTTATTGATCTGTTCAGGGTTTTTATGTCTTCTTCGTTTAGTCTAGAAGGGTTGTATATTTCCAGGAATTTATCCATCTCCTTTAGATTTTCTAGTTTATGCACATCAAAGTGTTCATAGTAGCCTTGAATGATCTTGTATTTCTGTGGTATCAGTACTAATAGCACCTGTTTCATTTCTAATTGAGCTTATTTGTATCGCTCTCTTCTTGGTTAAGCTCCCTAACAGTCTATCAATTTTATTTATTCTTTTCTTTCATTTTTTTTTCTGAGACACAGTCACTCTGTCACCCAGGCTGGAGTGCAGTGGCACAATCTTGGCTCACTGCAACCTCCACCTCCTGGGTCCAAGTGATTCTCCTGCCTCAGCCTTCTAAGTAGCTGGAATTACAGGTGCACACTACCATGCCCAGCTAATTTTTGTATCTTAGTAAAGATGGGGTTTTGCCATGTTAGCCAGGCTGGTCTCAGACTACTGACTGTAAGTGATCTGCCTGCCTTGGCCCCCCACAGTGCTGGGATTACAAGTGTGAGCCACCATGCCAGGTCTTATCTTTTCTTTCTTTTTTTTTTTTTTCTTTTCTTCATTAATTTCTTTTCATTATATTTTAAGTTTTAGGGTACATGTGCACAACATGCAGGTTTGTTACATACGTATACAAGTGCCATGTTGGTGTACTGCACCCATTAACTCATCATTTAACATTAGGTATATCTCCTAATGCTATCCCTCCCCCCTCTACCCACCCCACAACAGACCCCAGTGTGTGATGTTCCCCTTCCTGTGTCCATGTGTTCTCATTGTTCAATTCCCACCTATGAGTGAGAACATGTGGTGTTTGGTTTTTTGTCCTTGTGATAGTTTGCTGAGAATGATGGTTTCCAGCTTCATCCATGTCCCTACAAAGGACATGACAATGGGGTTTTCTAGATATACAATCATGTCATCTGCAAACAGGGATAATTTGACTTCCTCTTTTCCTAATTGAGTACCTTTTCCTGCCTGGTTGCCCTGGCCAGAAATTCCAACACTATGTTGAATACGAGTGCTAAGAGAGAGCATCCCTGTCTTGTGTTAGTTTTCAAAGGGAATGCTTCCAGTTTTTGCCCATTCAGTATGATATTGGCTGTGGGTTTGTCATAGATAGCTCTTATTATTTTGAGATACGTCCCATCAATACCTAATTTATTGAGAATTTTTAGCATGAAAGGTTGTTGAATTTTGTCAAAGGCCTTTTCTGCATCTATTGAGATAATCATATGGTTTTTGTCGTTGGTTCTGTTTATATGCTGGATTACGTTTATTGATTTGGGTATGTTGAGCCAGCCTTGCATCCCAGGGATGAAGCCCACTTGATCATGATGGATAAGCATTTTGATGTGCTGCTGGATTCGGTTTGCCAGCATTTTATTGAGGATTTCTGCATCGATATTCATCAGGGATATTGGTCTAAAATTCTCTTTCTTTGTTGTGTCTCTGCCAGGCTTTGGTATCAGGATGATGCTGGCCTCATAAAATGAGTTAGGGAGGATTCCCTCTTTTTCTATTGATTGGAATAGTTTCAGAAGGAATGGTACCAGCTCCCCCTTGTACCTCTGGTAGAATTCGGCTGTGAATTCATCCGGTCCTGGACTTTTTTTGGTTGGTAAGCTATTAATTATTGCCTCAATTTGAGAGCCTGTTATTGGTCTATTCAGAGATTCCACTTCTTCCTGGTTTAGTCTTGGGAGGATGTATGTGTCAAGGAATTTATCCACTTCTTCTAGATTTTCTAGTTTATTTGCATAGAGGTAGAGGTGTTTTATAGTATTCTCTCATGGTAGTTTGTATTTCTGTAGGATCGGTGGTGATATCCCCTTTATCATTTTTTATTGCATCTATTTTATTCTCTCTTTTCTTCTTTATTAGTCTTTCCAGTGATCAATCAATTTTGTTGATCTTTCCAAAAAACCAGCTCCTGGATTCATTGATTTTTTGAGGGTTTTTTGTGTCTCTATCTCCTTCAGTTCTGCTCTGATCTTAGTTATTTCTTGCCTTCTGCTAGCATTTGAATGTGTTTGCTCTTGCTTCTCTTGTTCTTTTAATTGTGACATTAGGGTGTCAATTTTAGATCTTTCCTACTTTCTCTTGTGGGCATTTAGTGCTATAAATTTCCCTCTACACACTGTTTTGAATGTGTCCCAGAGATTCTGGTGTGCTGTGTCGTTGTTCTCATTGGTTTCAAAGAACATCTTTATTTCTGCCTTCATTTCGTTATGTACCCAGTAGTCATTCAGGGGCAGGTTGTTCAGTTTCCATGTAGTTGAGCAGTTTTGAGTGAGTTTCTTAATCCTGAGTTCTAGTTTGATTGTACTGTGGTCTGAGAGACAGTTTGTTATAATTTCTGTTCTTTTACATTTGCTGAGGAGTGCTTTACTTCCAACCATGTGGTCAATTTCGGTATAGGTGTGGTGTGGTGCTGAAAAGAATGTATATTCTGTTGATTTGGGGTGGAGAGTTCTGTAGATGTCTATTAGGTCCGCTTGATGCAGAGCAGAGTTCAATTCCTGGATATCCTTGTTAACTTTCTGTCTCATTGATCTGTCTAATGTTGACAGTGGGGTGTTAAAGTCTCCCATTATTATTGTGTGGGAGTCTGAGTCTCTTTGTAGGTCTCCAAGGACTTGCTTTATGAATCTGGGTGCTCCTGTATTGGGTGCATATCTATTTAGGATAGTTAGTTCTTCTTGTTGAATTGATCCCTTTACCATTATGTAATGGCCTTCTTTGTTTCTCTTGATCTTTGTTGGTTTAAAGTCTGTTTTATCAGAGACTAGGATTGCAACCCCTGCCTTTTTTTGTTTTCCATTTGCTTGGTAGATCTTCCTCCATCCCTTTATTTTGAGCCTGTGTGTTTCTCTGAATGTGAGACGGGTTTCCTGAATACAGCACACTGATGGGTCTTGACTCTTTATCCAATTTGCCAGTCTGTGTCTTTTAATTGGAGCATTTAGCCCATTTACATTCAAGGTTAATATTTTTATGTGTGGATTTGATCCTGTCATTATGATGTTAGCTGGTTATTTTGCTCGTTAGTTGATGCAGTTTCTTCCTAGCCTTGATGGTCTTTACAATTTGGCATGTTTTTGCAGTGGCTGGTACCAGTTGTTCCTTTCCATGTTTAATGCTTCCTTCAGGAGCTTTTTTAGGGCAGGCCTGATGGTAACAAAATCTCTCAGCATTTGCTTGTCTGTAAAGGATTTTATTTCTCCTTCACTTATGAAACTTAGTTTCGCTGGATATGAAATTCAGGGTTGAAAATTCTTTTCCTTAAGAATGTTGAATATTGGCCCCCACTCTCTTCTGGCTTGTAGGGTTTCTGCTGAGAGATCCGCTGTTAGTCTGATGGGCTTCCCTTTGTGGGTAACCTGACCTTTCTCTCTGGCTGCCCTTAACATTTTTTCCTTCATTTCAACTTTGGTGAATCTGACAATTATGTGTCTTGGAGTTGCTCTTCTCGAGGAGTATCTTTGTGGAGTTCTCTGTATTCCCTGAATCTGAATGTTGGTCTGCCTTGCTAGATTGGGGAAGTTCTCCTGGATAATATCCTGCAGAGTGTTTTCCAACTTGGTTCCATTCTCCTCATCACTTTTAGGTACACCAATCAGACGGAGATTTGGTCTTTTCATATACTCCCATATTTCTTGGAGGCTTTGTTTATTTCTTTTTATTATTTTTTCTCTTAAGTTCTCTTCTCACTTCATTTCATCCATTTGACCTTCCATCACGTTACTCTTTCTTCCAGTTGATCGAATCATCTACTGAGGCTTGTGCATTCATCATGTAGTTCTTGTGCTTTGGTTTTCAGCTCCATCAGGTCCTTTAAGGACTTCTCTGCATTGCTTATTCTTGTTAGCCAGTCATCTAATTTTTTTTCAAGGTTTTTAACTTCTTTGCTATGGGTTCGAACTTCCTCCTTTAGCTTGGAATAGTTTGATCATCTGATGGCTTCTTCTCTCAATTCGTTAAAGTCATTCTCCATCCCACTTTGTTCCATTGCTGGTGAGGAGCTGTGTTCCTTTGGAGGAGGAGAGGCGCTCTGATTTTTAGAGTTTCCAGTTTTTCTGCTGTTTTTTCCCCATCTTTTTGGTTTTATCTACCTTTGGTCTTGATGATGGTGACGTACAGATGGGGTTTTGGTGTGGATGTCCTTTCTGTTTGTTAGTTTTCCTTCTAGCAGACAGGACCCTCAGCTGCAGGTCTGTTGGAGTTTGCTAGAGATCCACTCCAGACCCTGTTTGCCTGGGTATCCTCAGAGGTTTCTGCAGAACAGCAGATTTTTGTGAACCGTGAATGCTGCTGTCTGATCGTTCCTCTGGAAGTTTTGTCTCAGAGGAGTACCTAGCCCTGTGAGGTGTCCATCTGCCCCTACTGGGGGGCCAGGGACTGACTTGAGGAGGCAGTCTGTCCATTCTCAGATCTCCAGCTGCATTCTGGGAGAACCACTACTCTCTTCAACTCTATCAGACAGGGACATTTAAGTCTGCAGAGGATTCTGCTGCCTTTTGTTTGGCTATGCCCTGCCCCCAGATGTGGAGTCTAGAGAGGCAGGCAGGCCTCCTTGAGCTGCAGTGGGCTCCACCCAGTTGGAGCTTCCCAGCCGCTTTGTTTACCTACTCAAGCCTTGGCAATGGCAGGTGCCCCTCCCCCAGCCTGGCTGCCACCTTGCAGTTTGATCTCAGACTGCTGTGCTAGCGATGAGTGAGGCTCCACAGGCGTAGGACCCTCTGAGCCGGGCACAGGTTATAATATCCTGGTGTGTCATTTGCTAAGAGCATTGGAAAAGCGCAGTATTAGGGTGGGAGTGACCCACTTTTTCTGGTGCTGTCTGTCACCCATTTCTTTGACTAGGAAAGGGAATTCCTTGACCCATTGCGCTTCCTGGGTGAAATGATGCCTCACCCTGCTTTGGCTCATGCTCGGTGTGCTGCACCCACTGTCCTGCACCCACTTTCTGACACTGCCCAGTGAGATGAACCCGGTACCTCAGTTGGAAATGCAGAAATCACCCATCTTCTGCATTGCTCACGCTGGGAGCTGTAGACTGGAGCTGTTCCTCTTCAGCCATCTTGGCTCCACCCCTATATCTTTTCAAATAATCAGGTTTTTTTTGTTTCATTTATCTTTTTTTTGTTTCATTTATCTTTTTTTTTGTTTGAATTTCATTTAGTTCTGCTTTTATCTTTGTATTCCTTTTCTTCTGCTGGGTTTGGGTTTGGATTGTTCTTGTTTCTCCAGTCCCCTGAGGTGTGACCTTAGATTGTCTATTTGTGCTTTTTCAGACTTTTTAATGTCGGCATTTAATGCTATAAGCTTTCCTGTTAGCACTGCTTTTGTTGTGTTTCAGAGGTTTTGATAACAGTGTGCCACTATTATCATTCGGTTCAAAGAATTTTTTAATATTCATCTTGATTTCATTGTTGACCCAGTGATTATTCCGGAGCAGGTTATTTAGTTTACATGTATTTGCCTGGTTTTGAGGGTTCCTTTTGGAGTCAATTTCCAATTTTTTTCCCACTGTGGTCTGAGAGAGTATTTGATATAATTTCAATTTTCTTAAATTTACTGAGACTTGTTTTGTGACCTATCATATGGTCTATCTTGGAAAATATGCTGATGAATAGAATGTATATTCTGCAGTTGTTTGGTAGAATGTTCTGTAAACATCTGTTAAATCCATTTGTTATAGGGTGTAGTTTAAGTCCATTGTTTCTTTGTTGACTTTCTGTCTTGATGACATGTCTAGTGCTGTCAGTAGAGTATTAAGTTATCCCAATGTAATTGTGTTGCCATCTATTTTATTTCTTAGGTCTAGTAGTAATTGTTTTATAAATTAGGGAGCTCCAGTGTTAGGTGCATGTATATTTAGGATTGTGATATTTTCCTGTTGGACTATTCCTTTTATCATTATATAATGTTCCTCTTTGTCTTTTTTAAACTGTTGTTGCTTTAAAGTCTGTTTTGTCTGATCTAAGAATAGCTACTCCTGCTCACCTTTGGTGTCCATTTACTTGGACTATCTTTTTTTACCCCATTTAACTCAGGTTTCTGTGAGTTCTTATGTGTTAGGTGAGTCTCATGTAGACAGTAGAAACATGGTTGGTGACTTATCCATTCTGTGTCTTTTAAGTGAGGCATTTAGGCCATTTTACATGAAATGTTAGTATGAAGATGAGGTACTAGTCTATTCATCATACTATTTTTTTGCCTGAATATCTTTGTTTTTTTTTATTGTGTTATTGTTATATAGGTCCTATGAGATTTATGTGTTAAGCAGGTTCTATTTGATTTATTTTAAGGATTTGTGTCAAATTTTCATCTCCTTTTAGCAGTTCTTGTAGTGCTGGCTTGATAGTAGTAAATTATCTCAGCATTTGTTTGTCTGGAAAAGACTGTATCTTTCCTTCATTTCTAAAACTTAGTTTCACTGGATACAAAATTCTTGGCTGATTTTGTTTAAGGAGGCTAAAGATAGGACATCAATCCCTTCTAGCTTGTAAGGTTTCTGCTGAGAAATCTGCTGTGACTCTGTTAGAGTTTTTTTTATAGGTTACCTGATGCTTTTGACTCACAGATCTTAAGATTCTTTCCTTCATCTTGAATTTAGATAACCTTATAACTATGTACATAGGCGGTGATCCTTTTGCGATGAATTTTCCACGTGTTCTTTGAGTTTCTTGTATTCAGATGTCTAGATCCCTAGGAAAGCTGGGGGATCTTTTTCTCAAAGATTCCTCCAAATATGTTTTCCAAACTTTTAGATTTCTCTTCTTCCTTAGGAGCACCAATTATTCTTAAGTTTGGATGCTTAACATAGTCCCAAACTTCTTGGAGGCTTTGTGCATTTTTTTTTTAAATTATTTTTCCATTGTCTTTGATAAATTGGGTTAATTTGAAAGCCTTGTCTTTGAGCTCTGAAGTTCTTTCTTCTGCTTCTTTGATTCTATTGTTGAGACTTTCCAGTGTGCATTTCCCTAAGTGTGTCCTTGATTTCCAGAAGTTATGATTTTTTAAATTTATGCTATTTCACTAAAGAATTTTCCTTTCATATCCTTTATCATGTTTTTGATTTCTTTAAATTGGACTTCACATTTCTCTGTTTCCTCCTTGATTAGCTTAATAATCAACTTCTGAATTCTTTTTCTGGCAATTCAGAGATTTCATCTGGGTTTGGATCCACTGTTGGTGAGCTGGTGTGATCTTTTGGGGGTGTTAAAGAACCTTGTTTTGTCATATCACTAGAATTGTTTTTCTGGTTCCTTCTCATTTGGGTAGACTGTGTCAGAGGGAAGATATCGGGCTCAAGTGCTGCTGTTCCTATTCTTTTGTCCCCCAAGGTGCTCCCTTGATGTGGTATTCTCCCCATTCCCCTATGGATGGGCCTTACTGAGAGGCAAACTGCAGTTATTGTTTTTGCTCTTTTGGGTCTAGTCACCCAGTGGAGCTGCCGTGCTCCAGAGTGGTACTGGGGAGTATCAACAAAGAGTCCTTTAATGTCGTCTGTCTTCAAGTCTTTCAGCTGTGGATACCAGCACCTTGCTCCAGTGGAGGTAGCAGGGGAGTGAGGTGGATTTTGTGAAGCTTCTTGGTTGTATTTTTGTTTGGTGCACTGGTTTGGTGTTGGTTGGCCTCCAGCCAGGAGGTGGTGCTTTCAAGAACACATTAGGTGTGGTACTATAGACAGGATACAAACTTGCCCTAGGGCCACCTGGTTAAGTTTTCAGGTTTCTCAGGTGGTGGGAAGGGCCATAGAGCTCCCAAGAGATTATGTTCTTTGTCTTTGTCAATCAGGGTGGGTAGAGCAAGGCTAGCAGTTAGAGGCAGGTTTAGGTATGTCTGAGCTCAGACTCTCCTTGGATGAGGCTTGCTGTGGCTGCTGTGGGGATGGGAGTCTGGTTCTGAGAGCAATGGGGTTGTGTTCCCAGAGAGATTATGGCTGCCTCTGCTGAGTCATACAGGTCACCAGGAAAGTGGGGCAAAGCTGGCAGTTACAGGCCTCACCCTGCTTCCATACAGTCTGCAGTGCTAAAGGCCAGTCTCACTCTCATTGTGCCCCCACAACAGCACCAAGTCTACTTTCAGGCAGCTGGCTACCAGGGCTATAAACTTTCCCCATACCACCAGTCTCCCTATCAAGAAAACAAGTAGACTCACAGTTTTTCAGCATCTCAGGGAGTCTGCAGCAGTGGTTCAATTCCTTCAAAGCATCCGTGGATTCTCTCAGGTTTCCTGGTATGTTCATATGGTAGTTCCTGGAGCAAAAGGTTATGCTGTGCATCTTCACATGCTTCTCTGTCTGAGCAGGAACTGCAAGCTAGTCCTGCCTCCTTTCAACCATCTTCCCTATTACCATTTTCTAATTAATCTTTCTGTTTTGTGGTCTTCTTTTCTTTCTGAAGTGGTGTTGTGTGTCTGGGGTAAATGCTCAATGTTCATCTTCTCATGCCAAAGAAATTGAGCATGTGGGCACACAAGAAGTGAGTTTAATGGTAGAGATTTAATAGGTGAGAGAAAACAGAAAAACTCTCCTGCAGAGAGAGAGAGTGACTCCTGAGTGGGTCTTCTGGTTTTGTAGTGAAATGCATCGGGTTTTATAGATGAGCTTGAGGAGGTGGTGTCTGATTTACATAGGGCCCAAAAGATTGATTGGACCAGCTGTGCCATTTACATAGCATGTGAAGAAGCTGGCTGCCCCATCCTAATCTTCTATTATGTGAATGGGTTCTCTACTTGGTTGGTGCCATGTTGCCTGCTTCTTTACTGCACACGTGGTTGACAAAGAAATGGGAAAATTGAGCCTCCATGCTCAATATGCCTGGCCCCCAGTTAGCCTTTTCCTATTGGCACAGCTGCCAGCATTCACCCATGCAAGCTGCCAGCTTGCTTTTCCATGTCTGCAGCTTGATTTTTCAGGCTGCTCTTTGTTAGAAAAGAAATGATTTTGGGGCTGCTTTTTATTAAAAGGGGAACCTTACCAAGGACTCTTACCCTCACTATATGCCTAAGTAATTTATTTCTAGCCCTGTATTATTTCCCCCCATCAGCAGTGGCAACCCTAACTGCTGTTAGTGGGTGTTGGATGACAACTCTTTCTGCCTACTTCCTGCTGAAAGAGGGGCACTGTGTGGGGAACAGCTCCTCCTGGGGTCAATCTAAGGATCCTTGGAAGAATGGTGTGTTCATGTATGTTCCATCTTCAGTAGCATTTGGAGTTTAATGGCTTCTAGGCAAGAATAAAGAATTTGGGTTATTAGAGGACATGTATCAAAATAAAACAAGGTAGGGGTAAGGACAGCTTAAAAAATCCTGAGGCTGTGTAACCCCTTGATAACTGGTGACTATGGTTATGCTTGTTAAGACTTGGATGTATGGGGCTTGGCTTTTGTTAATTACCTTGGTTTTATTTTCCCAAAGAAAGCTCTGGGTTATGGGTAACATATTTACTTTCATTACCTGACAGGATTTGCAGGATAATTGCCAAGAACTAGCATATTTGTCCTGATTTTTATATTACCCATCCCTTTTTGTTTTTTTCTGAGCTGCAGGAGTTTACTACTTGATTCACAGGAATAAGCAGGGTTAGCCTAAAATGTATCAAAAAATTTAAAAACAACCAATGAGACTATAATTTAATGAAAAATGTATAAGTATTGGAGCATAATTTTCCTATCTCCAGTCCTCATTTTGAGTAAAACCAAATTATGATAGGATGGTGGTGTTTGTAGAAAAGATTACTTCAGACTTTTATTAGTGTAGTTCATAGAGTTAACTCCTGTTTGATATTCATGAACGTTTCAGCTCTTCATGAGTCCTGGACATTTTTTCTCTCTTCCAATGTTACAATTGTCAAAGCTATAAGAAACCTGCATTTGAGAATATGTGTTAAATTCCTATAGCTTGATTTTAAATCATCTTTTGAAAAGAACAAAGCAAGACAACAATTGTCTGTGAATGACAAAATTTCCAGGGTAGTTAAAATTAAAAACATGACTGACAGAGAAGTTTAGTTATCTTAGTGGTGTACAATAACTTAACATAACAACCTTCATTATAATTAATAGCACATACTCAGACAATAGAATTTTATAAATCCCACACAATTGTGGAGCATATATTAATATTATTCACTAAAATATAACCTGAATAATGTTAAACATCGTTTTGGCAATCTCACATACCTGAACATGTCAAATAAACCCGTTTACCTTTCTTTAGAATGCTTCAGGGGCCCTCTGTGGCATCCAGAAGCTAGAGTTCAGGAAAGACAACGTTGAAACTGAGGTTTGATTTTGGGAAGCCTGTTATATATGTTAGAGGTTTAAAACACTTCATGTTATGAAATAGAATTCCAGGTTACCACAAGTCATTTATTTTGCCATAATGATGAAAAAAGGGAAAAGCCTCTTATTAACCTTTACTATTACATGAAAATCCTGTTCAAAGCCAAATTTTACCCTTGTATTAGTTTATTAATGTGAACCCAATTTTTGAAGGGAGGCTCATTGACAATTCCATCTAATCTTAACCAATTTGACCATTAATTTTTACAAACCTTTTATAACCCTTTTGCCAAAGGGCAGATCAGTGTTTTAAGACACCCTTGCTGTGCTTTTATTTCAATGCTCAATTTATGAAAATACCATATAATACCCTTTTGAGATTAGTTTGTTTACACATGGGATTTTTCACAAGATTATTTTTTATAATCTTTCCAAAACTTGCTTAAACCTTCAGCTTTATCATATCTAATTTAAGACAATCCTTTATCCCTAGAAAAATGTACATTTTCATGCCTTCTTATAGTCTTTTACTAAAAACATATTTTACTGTTTTACACACCTTGCATGTACGTCTATTTTTAGTAGTTTAAATTGCATGTTATAATGCTAACTTTTAGCAATTTTTAACTTTAATGTGAAACCTGGTAAGTTGCTTTGATTATGTAGTAGGCACAGATTAAGTTTGAATTTTTCCAGCATAGTTAAGGACATGGATAATTTTGTATGTCCCCAGGCCTTACAAAGTTGTAAAGCAGGAGTTTACATGGAAATATTTAGTAAACCTAGTATCTGACTTACATGATTTAGACCACTTATTTGCATTTTGATGACACCTGTATTTTACTAATAATCCTTAAGACTATTTTTATTCCTTAAAAGTTAAAGTCACTTGAGCTAAAAGGCATTACAGCTTTTATCTTTCCTTTAAAAAATATTTAATTTAAGTGCTTATTTTTCTTTAAGCCAATCAATTGGAGCTCTTTTTATAGACATTACAAGTAACACACATAATTACAGAGACAAACAGAAAAAGACTCAGTTGTTATAAGATTTATCTCTAATTGGAATATTGGTCTCTGGGTGAGGCCCTTTAAGAGTGGGGCTAGGAGAGCATGAAGTTTTTAAGGAAGACAAAAACAGATTTTTGAGAGAGATCTATCTGCCACTAATTCCTGGCATTCCATTAGGAAAAACAGAGATTTCTCCCAAAACGAGATTTGTGGTGTCTTTTCTGTTTTCCCAAGAAGTCTCACACTATCAGAAATTATCTTGGGGCCTCTCGTGTGTGCATTAAGTAATGCATGCATTAAGAGTATTAAGAGTGGCAAAACAAAATGGAGAAAAGGAATTTAGTTGACTCAGAAAAAACATTTTTCAGAAAAACAAGATCTAAGAACAGAAAAACATAAAGGCCTTTTAAATACACCAATAACTTGGATATCCACTTTTATTTAAGCTGAGAGCTCTTTAAGAAAATCCCTTTAAATCCCTTGTTACTCAACTTTAGCCATACTAAGCAGTTAAGATGTTCAGCTTTTGAACTTTACCAAAAGTTACCTCACAGGTGAAATCAAAAGCCTTAGTTAGGTTATGACTTAACCGTGAGTATACAAGATATTTTCAAAGGAGGGGTAAGCAGCTTATGAAACAGTTTTTTGCGAAATTGTGACTGAGACAGTGAAATAGATCCAACCCAACCAACTGTATGTTGCCTCCAGCCCCCAAGCTGTCCTTGCCCATCCCTAGGCATATGTGGAATCAACTCTGGGAAGAGCTTGGTTTACAGTTTATAGTTTAAAACAAAGTCAATAGTAGCCCTTTCTCAAAATAAACCTCCCTTTTTTGCCTAGGGACCAGACCAAGAAACTAGGCACAAGATTAGAAACCATGGCTTAGGAGTCATGCAGCTGGAGGATACAAGATTTTGACCCTTCTAAACTGCTCCCAAGATGAGTGCTTAAGATATTTTGCAAACCCTGCCATTGTTGGATCAGCTGGCATCACCAAGATTGATAAACTGGTTTATCTAATTTTGTGGCCCCCATCCGGGAACTAATTTAGCACGAGAAGACAACTTTGACTCCCTATGATTTTATTTCTAGCTCTACAAGTCAGCATTCCTGTCTCATTGGCTCCCCCCACTACCAAGCTGTCCCCAAAAACTCTGCTCCCCAAACTCTCAGGAAGACCCATCTGAGCAACAACAAAACTCCCATCTCCCACACAACTGACTCTACTACAATTCCCCTGTTTTGATAAATCAGCTCTGCCTGGGCAGCATGCAAGGTGAACTCATTGGGCAGTTACACTATTACAAAATCTAGAACACTTAAAGGCAACTTAGAGGAAGATTTAAGAAAGGCAGATAGAAGTTGTTCATGACGGGAGAAGAGAATCAGCAAATGGTAAAATTAAAGTATTCATTTCCCAAGCCAGAATTGAATCTGAGCCACTATTGTAAAATGGTGGAGACTAAAATGTAGTATTGCCACATGGTTACAGGTCATGTTCCCAAGCACATAAAACAAGATGCAGCAAAGTTTGTTACTGACCATTTTGTTGGGACTGGCTTGAACAGCAGGCTTATGGGGTCCCAGGACTGCATCCTAGCCTGAGATATGCTTTCTCTTGACAAAGCCGTACAGAAAGACACACAAAGCACACTGGATGGGCTACAGCTTAAGACCAACCTCATAAATCATTTTTCATGAATTAAAATTTTACAGAAAATATAAATAGTGAAACTTATTATTCCTGTTACTATTTTGTACAGGGAGAGAGAAGCCAAAATCCTGACTGGTGAAAAAAAAAAAAACTTTTACCCTTTTTCTGGACTGTCATGTTTCTGGGTTCCCTTCCCTTGAGCTCAACTCTCAGCCCAGCATTTTAACGTTTGGGGAAATTAACTTTTCCAAGTTTGGAGGAACATTATAAAAGAAGAGATAGGAGCCATTTTAAACCACGTAAAGAGGAAGGAAAAATACCACAGAAAAGTCTGGGGTTTGTGTGGTGGAACTGAAATAGCTGACGATGTAAATAGGGGGAACAGGCAGGGCTGGGGCATCTGGAAGTTGCATTTAAGGGTTTCCTGGGGGGTCTGTTTCTTTAGTTTTGAGGAATCATTCCCATTGGGCCCACCTGATATGACTGCTAAAAGAGCTGAGTTGATTGTGCCGTGCTTGCAAAGGTCTAGTAACAAGCCCATACCCTTGTGCAAAAGAAAATGAGCTGCTTTTTTTCCAGTCTCAAGGTCAAAGGAATCCCAATGCTTCAGAATGCACTTCAGAGGAGTACAGGTTGAAGATGGTTTGTTACCCATCTAGAAAGAGAAGCCAGAAAAAAGTCACCCCTGTAATCTCCTTCCTTTTGTTGTGACCCAAGGTGGAGGGGAAGACGGCAGGAGTTTACCCCCTACTCTTTTCCCTCTTGGTTCCTGGGACTCCAGCACATTATTAAACATATTGTCCATGGTTGCAGGCATGACCCCCAGCCATGGAAGTGGAGGAACGAAGCAATTGGGATTACTCACACTTACCCATGCGACTCTAGTCTTCTGTTTATGATTTCCCGTTGACTTTTTAGACTGACATGGCCTATGTGGCTCCCAGAAAGAGGGATCTTGAAAAAGACTATGTAATAGTTGCCTTTGGGCAAGGCCCCTTTAATGGAGGGGGTGCGTTAGATTGAACTGTATATCCTGTTATTATGGCCCATGCCAAAGCGTTTACTCTTGTCTCCTTACTATGTAAGTACCATTTTAATTGGAGACAGAGTAGGTGACTTAAAAGAATGTAGGGACCAAATGGTGGTTTTCCTGCTGATGGGACACTATCGAGACTAACTTTTTTTTCAGAGACATTTTCCTCATCACTGTTGAAGGCAGAGTTTTTCTCTTTCACAGAAAAGGCATAAAGCTTGGTCCCTAGTAGAAGGGCACAAAAAGGGAGGAAAATTGGGAAGCTAAAGTGTTTTGGCAAAGGGCCAACAATGTGCCTCATGGAGAGGATTCCTATTCCACTAGGTGGCGCTGTTGACCTTGAAATACCATGTGCTCTCCAGACCAAGCGCAGAGAATAAGCTCACTGTGGGGGGTGGGGGAAGATCCTCTGTTACTAGAAAATCACAAAAACAGCGTTCTCTTGAGTTATGTTCCCAGTTACTATGGCATTTGCTGACCTTTCCTAACAGGACTATTTCGCTGAACTGTAAAAATTTCCGGAGCATTGCATATATAGAGATGATAGGAGACATGACAATTGCCGGTAGGAAAGGAGGAAATTGTGATAGAAAAGCTGGAGATCCTATTGCCGACGGTTGGTTGGGCAGTTGAAGGCTGGAGTTGGTCCAGAAGCCCTCAGATAACACCAGGGTGTAGTCCTGGCCAGAAATTCTTAGTTGCTCCGGGACCTCTTTAAGCCCCATACGATGGCTGGGTGCTCCAGGAAGGGAAACTGGTTTGAAACATAGCCAATATGCCCAGCAACCTGAGGGTGCTGGGGGATTCTCCATGATCTCCCCAGCAAGCTTGTCCCCTGGTCTTGTAAGGCTGGCAGCCACTCTAACCATTTTTAAATGGCTGACAAGGGCCCAGTATTTGGTTTGATTTGATATTAAAATGGAGGCCAAGAGCCTCAAAATGCAAGGATAGAGTTATGGTCTACTCCTATACTCACCCTTCTGATGATTATACCTGCATCCCAGGTGGAGCCCCAAAATGAAGCAGCATTGTTTGTCTCAGGTAAATACCCTACATTCATTGTCTCACTCCAAGGAAACTGAGGGTGTGGACACACAATAAGTGAGTCTAAAAGCAGAGGTTTAATAGGTGAGAGAAAAGCTCTCTCTTCTGCAGAGACAGAGGGACTCCTGAGTGGGTCCTCCAGTTCTGTGGTGAAATGCATGGGGTTTTATAGATGAACTTGAGGAGGCAGTGTCTGATTTTCATAGGGCCCAAAAGATTGGTATGTGACGAAGCTGGCTGCCCACCCTAATCTTTTATTATACAAAAGGGTTCTCTACCTGGTCAGTGCCATGTTGCCTGCTTCTTTACTGCACATGTGGTTGACAAAAGGGAAGATGGAGCCTCCATGTTGACCATGCCTGGCCCCCAGGTAGCCTTTTCCTATTGGCACAGCTGCCAGCATTCACCCATGCAAACTTACAGCTTGCTTTTCTATGTCTGCATCTTGATTTTTCAGGCTCTTCTTTGTTAGAAAAGAAATGATTTGGGGGCTGCTTTTTATGAACACGGAAACCTTACCAAGGACTCTCTTACCCTCACTATATGCCTAAATAATTTCTTTCTAGTTCCTGTGTCAGTTCTTTCTTTCCTTCCTATTCTTCTTTAGTGAAAATAATTTTCTCTGGTGATATGATTAGTTTCTTGCTTTTTATTTTTTATGGACCCATTGTATGTTTTTTGGTCTGAGGTTACCATGAGGCTTTTACATACTATCTTATAACCCATTATTTTAAGCTGATAACAACTTAGCACTGTTTGTACAAATAAACAAGCAAAAAAAAAAAAAAAACAACTAATAAGAACTCCACATCATAACTTTGTCCCCCTGCTTTTTAACTTTTTGTTGTTTCTATTTATATCTTATTGTCTATGTCCTCAAAAGTTGTTGTGGTTATTATTTTTGATTGGTTCATTGTTTAGTTTTTCTACTTAGGATAAGAGTAGTTTACATACCACAGCTATAGTGTTAAAATATTCTGTGTTTTCTGTGTACTTTCTACGACCAGTGAGGTTTGTACCTTTAAGTGATTACTTATTGCTCATTAACATTCTTTTCTTTCTGATTGAAGTACTTACTCCCTTTAGAATTTCTTGTTGGACAAGTCTGCTCTTGATGAAATCCCTCAACTTTTGTTTGTCTGGAAAAGTTTTTATTTCTCCTTCATGCTTGAAGGATATTTTTGCTAGATATCCTATTCTAGGGTAAAAGGTTTTTTTTCCTTCAGCACTTTAAATATGTTATACCACTCTCTTCTGGCTTGTAAGGTTTCCATTGAAAAGTCTTCTGCAAGGCATATTGGAGCTCCATTGTATGTTATTTGATTCTTTTGTCTTGTTGCTTTTAGGGTCTTTATTCTTGAGCTTAGGGAGTTTGATTATCAAATGCCTTGAAGTGGTCTTTGGATTAAATTTCTGGGTGTTCTATAACCTTCTTATAGTTGAATATTGATATCTTTCTCTAGGTTTGGGAAGTTCTCTGTTATTATCCCTTTGAATAAACTTCCTATCTCTATCTCTCTACCTTCCCTTTAAGGTCAATAACTCTTAGATTTCCCTTTTGAGGCTATTTTCTAGATCCTGTATGTGTCCTTCATTGTTTTATATTTTTTTCTTTTGTTTCCTCTGACTGTATTGTTTTTTCAACAGTTTGTCCTCCAGCTCACTAATTCTTTCTTCTGCTTGATCAATTCTGCTATTAGAAGACTTTGGTGCATTCTTCAATATGCCAAATACATTTTTCAGCTCCAGAATTTTTGCTTCATTCTTTTAAAATTATTTCAATCTCTTTGTTAAATTTATTTGATAGCATTTTGAATTTCTTTTCTGTGTTACCTTGAATTTCTTTGAGTTTTCTCAAAACAGTAATTTTAAATTGTTTGCCCAAAGGGTCACATATCTTTATTTCTTCAGGATTGGTCCCTGATGCCTTATTTATTTCATTTGGTGGGATCTTGTTTTCCTAGATGGTAGTGTTGATGCAGGTAGAACAGTAGATGTTCATCTGTGCCTGGGCATTGAAGAGTTAGATATTTATTGTAGTCTTTATGTTCTGGGCTTGTTTGTACCTATCCTTCTTGGAAAGGATTTCCAGATATTTGAAAGGACTTGGATGTTGTAATGTAAGCTGAATCTGCTTTAGGAGGCATGACAAGCCTGGTAAAACTGAATAAAATTCCACCAGACAATAATTTGAATTCATATGAAGAAAGCAAAAGCTCTGGTAAATGAAACTACATAGATAAATATAGAAGATGGTATTTGCATATTTTGGCTTGTTACTTGTCTTCCTTTTATGTGATTTAAAAGACAACTGCATAAAGCAGACCTGTAGAGGTACCACCTTGATGGTCTTGGACAAGATCAGTGAGAATTCCCCAGATTATCAGGCAGAGACTCTTGTTCTCTTCCCTTACTTCTCTTAGATGGAGTCTTTCTCCCTCTGTTGTGGGCTACCTAATGATGGAGGTGAATGTGGCCACTACCACTGTGATTGCACTGGGTTAGACCTGAAACAAATATAGCACTGGGTCTTGCTCAAGGCCTGCCATGACCACTTCCTGGGTAAGTGTTCATTCAAGGCCCTGGGGATCTATAACAAGCAGGTAGCAAAGCCTGCCATACCTGTGTCCTTCTTTTCAGGGTGGCAAGTTCCCCAGGCCCTGGATGGGTCCAGAGGTGCCATCTGGGAGTCAGGTATTAGGGTCAAAAACCTTAGAAGACTACATGTTGTTCTATTATACTATGGCTGAGGCAGCACTTAAGCCACAAGATGCAGTTCTTCCTACTCTTCCCTCCCATTTCCAAAGGTAGAGGGGCCTCTATCAGGTTCTATGGGTGCGCACCTGATTTTTGGTTCTTATGAAGGTGTGTTTTCTCTGTAGATAGTTGTTAAATATGTGTCCTTGCAGGGAGTATGGCACAAGACAATCAGCGGAGCCTTCCCTTGCTCCTGTGGGTGTTTCTTTAACCTTAAATTGAGGCTAAGAATATATACTTTCAGAAATATAGTTGAAATTAAAGTTAATGTATTTCAAACACTGAAATTGGGCATGAATCCTAGCACATAGTGCTTAGTAGGTCAATGCCAGTTACAAAAGTGTAGTTAAAAACCTTTAAAATTCTCTCCTCCATTCTAGCAATGAGAATACTGGAAAGAATGATCAGAGTCAACATTTTCAGAATTCTGGAAATTAAGCAAATGCTTATATCAGTCCAAGGAGTACTTATGTAATAAAAATGGCTAACTCTCAATAACAAGGAGGGTTATTGGCATTTTAATTTACCCTGTTTTCATTTTCTCTGCACAGCTTCTCTGTAGTCTTGAAAAACAATGGCCTGCAATTACATTGATACCCAGCAGCTTGGCAACCACTGGGAAGGGCAGAATGAGATTGGAGCTTTTTCAAAGCTCCTTTCCCAGATGATTGTTACTATTTGACCTATGTGTTCATTCCCTGGAAGACCTAACTCACAAATCTATCTTTATTTGACTTGACTTGGAACATTTTTCCTGGAGAAATTTATCAAAAACAATCAGAGGCAATTCTTAAACATTGCAGCAGCTTTAGGCAGTGGATTAAATTAGGGAAAACAACAGGCTAACCAAAAGGCTTAAATACAAAGCTGAGGAATGAATATCAGGACTGTGCATATGCCCAGGACTCTGTACATGTTCAAGAAAGACCCAGGAAAGCATAAGCTGTCACCTCTGGCTTACCTTGTGACCCTGTGAAAGCAGGATATGAAGGCTAAGGTAAAGTTTTAAGCTATCTGGCTGAGTAGTGAAGGCATGCCCCAAGACACACATAGAACCCCTTAGCAAAGACTGTAAGACTTATTGGTTCTATAGATATCTCTGTATAATTATTAACTTATCCATAATCTTATTGAGCAGGGACTTCAGTGACTGCATATAAGAAAATAATATGTCTCATAAAATTAGTTTAAAAAATGCTAATCCCAAGAACAACCAAACAACAAACAGTAACAATTATAAACATTGGAGATGGAAAAAATTTGATTTCCAGGATTGCCACATTGTATTAGTCTATTTGGGCTGATTTAACAAAATACCATAGACTGAGTCACTTATAAACAATAGGAATTTGTTTCTTGAAGTTCTGAAATTTGGAAAGTGTAAGATCAAGGCACCAGCAGATTTGGTCTGGTGAGAGTCCACTTTCTGGTTCTAGATGGTCATCTTCTTGTTATAATATATCATGGGGGAAGGAGCAAGAGATCTCTCTTGGGGGATCTCTTAGATAAGGTGCCTATCTTATAGGTGAGAGCTCCAATTTCATGATCTAATCATCACTCAAAGCCCCAACCTCCAAATGCCTTCACATTGGAGATTAAGTTTTAACGTATGAATTTTGGGAAGGACACAAACTTTTTGACCATAGTGTGTGAGCATGTGCGCACGCACACACACACATGTATGCTTATATATAGGCATGTATATATATGTATATTCCAGTTTTCAACAACAAGAAAAATATAATACATGGAAAAAACAAGAAAGTATGGCCCATACATAGGGGACTAACACAGTTGGCAGAAACTGTTTCTGGGGAAGCCCAGACTTCAGACATACTAAACAAAGACTTTCAATTAGTTATTTCAAATATATTTAAGGAAATAAAGAAAACTATGTCTAAGAATTATCAGAATGATGTCTCAGCAAATAGATCATTTCAATAAACAGATAGAAATTATAAAAAAGGGCCAAATGAAAATTCTAGAGGTAAAAAGTACAATAATTGAAATGACAAATTCACTAGAGGAGCTCAACAGCAGATATGAGTAGGCAGAATAAAGAATAAGTGAACCTGGGTAGGCCAATGGAAATCATACAGTCTGAGGAGCAGAAAGAGAAAGGAAGAAAAAATGAACAGGACCCCAGAGACCTATCAAGTACCATTAAAAATACCACCATATGTATAATGGGATTTTCAGAGAAAAGAAAGGGGCAGAAAGAATATTGGGAAAAAAATGATGGCTTAAAATTTTTCCAAAAGTTAATCTATGCATCCAAAAACCTCCTCAAATTCTAAATAGGATAAATTCAAAGAGATTATGGGATCATAATCAAACTAACAAAAACCAAACAGAGTGGGAGAATCTTGAAAGCAGCAAAAAAGAAGTGACTCATCATATCTAAGAGATTCTCATTAGCCAAACAGCTGATTTCTCATCAGAAGTGATAAAGGTCAGGAGGCAGTTGGATAACATATTCAAAGTACAGAAAAGAAAAGACTATCAATCAAGAATTCCCTGTCCAATGAAATTACCCTTTGAAAATGAAGGAGAAATTAAGATATTCCTAGGCAAACAAAAACAGAGAGGTTTTATTGTTAGCAGGTCTTCTCTTTAAGAAATACTAAAGGAGTCCTTCAGGCTGAAATAAAATTCCACCAGACAATAATTTGAATTTACATGAAGAAAGCAAAAGCTCTGGCAAACGTAACTACATAGATAAATATAGAAGACTTATTTACATATTTTAGCTTGTTACTTGTTTTCCTCTTATCTGATTTAAAAGACAACTGCATAAAGCAATAATTGTAAATATGTGTTGATGGATATGCAATGTGTAAAGATGTCATTTGTATGGCAATAACAACACAAAGTAGAAGGGAGGGAATGGAGCTATATAGAAGTGCTATTCCTATGTACTGTTGTATTTACGTTGGTGTTAATCTGAACTAGATATAAAAACATGATCCAAATATAGGTTGTCTACAAGAGCCATCCTTTAGATTCAAAGACCCAAATAAGTTGAAAGCAAAAGCTTGAAAAAATATAAACCACACAAACAGTAAGCAAAGGATAGCTGAAGTGGCTATACTTTAGCTAATAGTAATATCAGACAAAATGAAATTTAAGACATAAATTGCTATTAGAGATGAAGAAGGATATTTTATAAGGGTATACCAGTCAATTCACCAAGAGCTGCTTATAAACAACAGAAATTTTTTTCTTATAGTTCTGAAGGCTTGGGAAGTCCAGGATCAAGGCATTGGCAGATTTGGTATCTGGCATAAGAGTCCATTTCCTGGTTCTAGACGGCCATTTTGCCATAATCTCAGATGGTGAAAGGGGCAAGAGATCTCTCTGGGGATTTTACCTTTTATAAGGGTGCTAATGCCATGTTATAATGTCTGTAATAATTATAGGCCTATGTGCATCTAATAACAGAGCCCCAAAATATATGAAGTAAAAACTAACACTTTAGAAAAGAGAAATAGACAATTCAACAACAATAGGTGGTGACTTTGATATCTCACTCTCAGTAATGGGTTGACAACTAGGCAGAAGTTCATCAAGAAAACAAGACTTACACAATGCTATAAAGCAACTATATATAACAGTATTCTGTTAAGTGTACACCTAACTACATTTATACTATACTCTCTTCAACAACAGCAGAATATACACTCTTTTCAAGTGCACATGCAACATTCTCGAGGTTAGACCATATGTAACCTAAAACAAGACTCAATACACTTAAAAGAATTAGACAAAGTATGTTCTCCAGAATGTAATGAAATTAAAAATCATCATAGAAGAAATTTGGGCAATTCACAAATATGTAAAAATTAAACAACACATTTTTAAATAACCAATGCATCAAAGAGGAAATCATGAGGGAAATTAGAAAATACTTTGAGATAAGGGAAGATGAAAACATCATAGCATAACCTATGGAATACATCTAAACCAGTGCTTAGTGGGAAATTTGTAGCTGTTAATGTGTATATTTAAAAAAGAAGAAAGATCTGAAATTAATCACTTTACCTGCTCCCATGAAGACATTGGAAAATAAGAGCAAACTAAACCTAAAGGAAGCAGAAGAAAGGAAATAGCAAGGACTAGAGCAAAAACAAATGAATTAGAGAATAGATAGAGACTAAAAAAACAACAAAACCGAAGTGGATTCTTTAAAAAGATCACCAAAGTGACAAATCTGTAGCTAGATTGACCAAGAAAGAAAAGAGATGGAAGACTCAAATTACTAAAATCAGCAATGAAAGACAGACATTACTACTGACCTTACAAAAATGAAAAGGATTATAAGGGATACTATAAGCCATTATATGCAAAAAATTATATGACTTAGATAAAATGGATACATTCTTAGAAAGACATAAGCCACTGAAATTGACTTAATAGATGATCTGAACATAGTATAATAAGTAAAGATATTGAATTAGTAATAAAAATATTTCTCACAAAGAAAACCCAGGCCAAGATGGCTTTACTGGTGAATTTTATTAAGCAATTAAGGAAGAATTAACACCAGTCCTCCACAAGTTTTTCTAAAAAATAGGAGAGAACAATTCCCAACTCATTCTATGATACAAGTATTACCCTGATACCAAAATCAAAGATATCATAAGAAAAGAAAACTACAACCATCTCTTATGAAAATAGATATTAATACAAGAATTCTCAACAAAAGTTTAGCAAATGGCATCCAGTAGCATATAAAAGGAAATGTACACCATGACTAAGTGGGATTTATTTAGGAGTGCAAGGTTGTTTCAATATATGAAAACCAACCAATGTAATACACTATGTCAATAGAATAAAGGACGTAGTGTTCAGTAATGATAGCTGCTATTATTGCTATTTTTCTTGGTTCTCCATTCACTGCTTACCCATATATTAAAATATAGCAGCAGTTACAACTCTTATGATATATGATTTAAACGGCATCCTATTCTTCAGGCTGCAGAGTAATTGCTGTAATATATGTTTGCAAGATGGCAGAATATATTTGGTTTGCAAATTTCCACTGTCCTGGAAATTATGTGTGAAGTAAATTTGAAGTCTCTTCGCCTAGGTGAGGCTTTTTCCATTGAATGGCTGGTGGAATTTCTAGACTTCCAAAAAATGTGAATGGGAAGACATACAAATCTATTTTTTTGGATTTTTACACTGGAAAAGTTGACACTAGGATTTCAGCTTCAATTTGCCTCCCAACTCCAGATATCACTCTGCCTGAAAGTGCATCAAGTTCCAAGGTTCATTTCTATGGATGGAATGTGTCCTGATGTGTTTATAGTACAGTTGAGAGATTGATTCAGAAACTCAGCCTCCTCTGTTACCTCAGACAGTGAGGAAACTTCCTCAGAAATATTCAACCTGAATGAAACCCCATTTTGTTATCCACAAGTGTTTAGAATCCTTCATGACACCTAAGGGCTTATAAAAGGAGTGCTTTGTTGCATAATATTCCAGGCCAGGGATGTAGGATGTTAATAGGTTAAAATGCAGGGAAAATAACTAATCAGGTGAAGATGGGTTGTTAATAGGCAAATACTCCCAAATTTCTGTTTCTAAGGAAAAATCTTTTAAAAACAGAGATAATTAATCCCTGGGAGGACAAAGCCTTAGGTATAATGATAGATCCTTTAATGTTCTCGGTATCCTCTCTAAACACTATGATTCAAGAGAAGCTGTTTTCTTATTTTAAAGGCAGAATAAGAAAGGGGGTATTGTTAGAACATTTGTGTCCTTTATTCCATAATATAGATCTAGATGCTGGAGAAGATCAGAAGATTCTCTTTAGTAACTAAGAACTTGGAGTTTCAAATTCAACTGACATTTTCTTTCCCTTTAACTTGAACTTCAAAGGCATTGGAGTTTTGAAAATGCTTGCTGAATCCATTTGAAGAAATTTGTGTCATCTTGACATTCTGTGAATTTTGTAAAATTGTCCAGTCAGTGGAGACTTGGATATATACATTACATAACACGCTGTTTGAACAGGTACCTATAAAGGTTACTTTGTATTTCTGAATACATTGGCCATTCTCCTAAACTATAGAGGCAATTACAGTAAGTTACCTAAAACTGCTTATTCTTAATCCAGTTTCTTACATTTCCTCTTTCTCCCAACGGGTTTATAATTGAAATCATTAAAGTATTACATCTGATAATTGATGGTGAATCACTTCTAAATGTTTGAGGACAATTTTTAGAAATATTTATTCTCCTCACTGTATATTGATATAACTACAATTTACCAGGAAAAGGTTAATATTTTATGGATTCCTGAATCAATTTCTAGGCTTTTAAGTGTGGAGAGAGTGCAGTAGGTGGATGGGTCATTGAAGATTTTCTCCAGGGGTAGGGCATATGATGTAATGATAGTCAGAGATTGCTTTATGTAGAATCACTCATTTCCTTGAAATAATACTCTTTGAAAGTCTCCAGGGAGAAAAAGAGGGAAAATCTCACCTTGTACTAGTAGCAGGAGATATGAGAAACAATTGAAAATAAAGAAAGGCAAAATTAAAGTAGAGCTGACAGGGTGTGTGACCTTCACCGAGCTCAGGCCGGATCAGTGTGGGAGGGAAGAGAAGGAGAGAATTTGGATTATGTTATTCAAAGGAAAACTTTAGCTCTAAGACTGCGATCAAAAGGCAAGTGTATTAAAATACAGGATCTGCAAGTAAACAGTGTACTCTCTGCTGTAGCTGGGAATCTATATTGAACTCCAGGCTTAGGTGTATTTTTTATTTTGACTCTATTCATGTGTTCCCAGATATTGTTTTAACCAGATGATAACTTGTTTCTGCTACAATGGATGTGGTCTCAGCAATATGGCTGAATTTCTTCATCCCTAAACTCAGACTTAGCCTCTTTCTTAGGCAATCAAGACAGGTATTGGCAAAGATAAGACATGAAACTTAATTTTGTCACTGTAAGGTGAATTTTCCTTGTATACACTCATATTAATGTATCTTAAGGAAGGCCAGATATGATGGAAAAAAAATTCACATTGTTGGGCATTAGACCTGGATTTTCTTGTTATTCTCTGCCACAAATAAATTAGCTGTGTTTTCTTAGATGTTACCTCTTGAGACTTCAGTTTATTCACCTTTAAAGTACGGATAAGTTGATGCAATGCAAAGTACCTGAGGATTTTTAATGTCTAACAATTCTAGAGTCTTGTCCAGTTGGACCCTTGAAATCATTACATCTGACTCTGCATTTCTTAGCTTAGCAAAAGGAATGCCATTAATTTCTTATGGTCACAGGTGTTAGCTTTAGGTACTAGTCCACTTGTCCAAACTCTGGCACTGCTGAGTCCCAGAAGCACTGGTTAAGTGCTGAAGAGCTAGAGGCAGACATCTTGTGCTTGAATACAGTCTTCTCTGTTTTTTTTAATTGACACTATAATTTTGGGTAAGTTGTTTTTCTTTTCAACACAGTTTACTTTTCTTTCAAATATAGATAATTGTGTACCAACTTCAAAGCATTGTGAGGATTAAGTGAAAAAATGCATGTAAAGCATTTAGTATAGTACCAAGTACACGACAAGCATGCAATAAAAATGAACAATTATTATAGGAAGTACAGCGTATAAAAATAAATCTCTGCATGCTAGAAAGTAAGAATGGGGAAAAGCAGAGTGGTAGTAAAGGTTTGCATTTCAAAATGAGTATATGAAATTTAAAAAGGTAACAATGGTTTCTCTGGGAAGAAGTTTGTTTATGTCCTTACCTCTCAATTGCGGTCTGAGGGCCCTTTTATGGAATATCAAGGTCTTTCTGCTAGGTTGACACTTTTCTCCATTTCTAATTTCTGTAAAAATATGGGTATTAGAAGATGTAAGTGGTAATAGGCACACTATGTCTTTGGACTAGGGCAGAAAAAGGAACTAATCCTGTGCTCAAGTCTCCCAATTAACAGTGAACATCAAAGACACCAATTTTGAACATGAGACTGAGTTGTTCTGTTTGTATGTTTGTATCTGCAGGGAAATAGGAAGGAGATGAAAACTGTAAAAAAGAACTGCTCTTTAAATATATTCTAATTACTTCAAGACTTGCAAGAAATTGAATAAGTGAGATAATGAAAATGAATGAGTCAAGTTTGGGGTTTTCTGTCTGGTTTTGATCAGGAAGTCTAACTTTTGGCATAGACCTTCAGGAACTTGTAAAAACATTAGTTGATTGTTGGTTCTCTCAAAGGCCATCTCCTCTAGGGAAAAGTTGGTAATCAGAAGGGCATCCAACCTTATTCTCAAGAGTTCTTGTCCCTGAAAGGATTCTCTGGAGCACCGGGCTATCCAGAAGGGAGACCATGATCCTGGAGCTTGGAGCTCTTAGGCCCGCTTCTCAATGAAGCATGTGTGGGATCACAAGGAAGATGTTACCTTTTCATGTACCTCGTCAGGTATCATACCTCCATGTAACAGAGGCAATTCATCTTACCCACCACTGCCTTTGTGCTTTAAGAACACATAAAGATTTAAAAAAAAAAAAAAACCTGAAGTCTAGGAAAAAGTGAGAATAATAGCAAAACTTAGCTTTAAGTACTATCTTAAAGTTAATTGAATGAAATGTGCATTCTTCTTCAAGTAAATGAAAATAGACTATGTATTAAGGAGATTCTCATTGATTATTCAGACTTGACTTACTGACTGTCATATCAATGCTATAAAACCAGAGATCAACAATCTTTGACTGGTAGACTAAAGATGATATTAGGAAGATTCTAAAAGATCCATGAGCAGTCATAGATATTAGGAAGATTCTAAAAGATCCATGGGCAGTCATGGCAGCCTCATCCTCTGTCCTGATCTTTTCAGAAAAGTTAGGGTCCAGTCAGGCACTCTCCCTATGTCCATATGGTGACTTGGTGACAAAAATTTAATGAGCACATTATAGCAGTTACTTCAACTATACCCAGCTATTTCCTGGATTCCTATCATGTACCAATGTACAATTCCCTATATTTGTTTTCCTACATATTCTGCTCAATGTAAACATTTATGATTTCAGCTTCAGGTCTCCAAGAAAAAATATAGAAACTATATTTCTTTCCTAACTATACAGGTAGTTATGCAAGCTGTAGAAAACATAAATAAAAATCACCCATAGTTTCACATCCAGAAGTAAATGTCCTAAATATATTATTTCCTTATCAACTTTTCTCTACACATATGTTTTACCATAGGTAAAACAAAACCTATATAAAATTTTATAACTAAAATTTTTGAAGTCAAATTTTATTACTAAAATATACCTATAAAACCTATAATCTTCAATACTAAATCCATAACTATTATCACTAACTTTTAACCTATGGAATACTTGCATAATTATAATTAAGATATACAGACTATTTTATGGTTTTTAGTTCATGTTATTTCATATACACATTTTAAAGTCTTATTAGTCTCCAAAACTATTACCTCTAATGAATGCATTAATTCATCATATTGATGTCTAAGTGAAGTTTTGAAACAACTACACTCTAGGAAATGGAATCTCTCTCTTCTGGGTGTCCCATGTCTTCTAAGAATATTTTTGAGGTCAGGCTAATAAAAAACTAAGAAGTCAGCTAGAGAAGTTTACGGGTACCTATTCCTAGAGAGTTTTGGGAAGAGAAGGAATCATCTGTGAGATGGCAGAGCAGTGAAAAGGCAAAGTTTTGGACTATTTGATTCTTTTATGCTTCTTTTTTTTCCTTTCTTTTTTCTAAAGGTAAAATATTCCTTCCTGGAGGTTTTATCACCCACACTACATAGATGGAGAAGAAAAAGAATGTGACTGAATTCATTTTAATAGGTCTTACACAGAACCCCATAATGGAGAAAGTCACGTTTGTAGTATTTTTGGTTCTTTACATGATAACACTTTCAGGCAACCTGCTCATTGTGGTTACCATTACCACCAGCCAGGCTCTGAGCTCCCCCATGTACTTCTTCCTGACCCACCTTTCTTTGATAGACACAGTTTATTCTTCTTCTTCAGCTCCTAAGTTGATTGTGGATTCCTTTCAAGAGAAGAAAATCATCTCCTTTAATGGGTGTATGGCTCAAGCCTATGCAGAACACATTTTTGGTGCTACTGAGATCATCCTGCTGACAGTGATGGCCTGTGACTGCTATGTGGCCATCTGCAAACCTCTGAACTACACAACCATTATGAGCCACAGCCTGTGCATTCTCCTGGTGGCAGTGGCCTGGGTGGGAGGATTTCTTCATGCAACTATTCAGATTCTCTTTACAGTATGGCTGCCCTTCTGTGGCCCCAATGTCATAGGCCACTTCATGTGTGACTTGTACCCATTGTTAAAACTTGTTTGCATAGACACTCATACCCTTGGTCTCTTTGTTGCTGTGAACAGTGGGTTTATCTGCTTATTAAACTTCCTTATCTTGGTGGTATCCTATGTGATCATCTTGAGATCTTTAAAGAACAATAGCTTGGAGGGGAGGTGTAAAGCCCTCTCCACCTGTATTTCTCACATCATAGTAGTTGTCTTATTCTTTGTGCCCTGTATATTTGTGTATCTGCGCTCAGTGACCACTCTGCCCATTGATAAAGCTGTTGCTGTATTTTATACTATGGTGGTCCCAATGTTAAATCCCGTGGTCTACACACTCAGAAATGCTGAGGTAAAAAGTGCAATAAGGAAGCTTTGGAGAAAAAAAGTGACTTCAGATAATGATTAAATAAGACCATTGAGCACTCAACATAGAGGTAATAGGTATTTAAGCTTCTTGATTTGTAGATGAATATGTCAACTCTAACAAGGGGCTGGCTAATGCTTGCAGATAGTCAGTAAAGCATAAAGCTAAAGCTTGGACTGTAAAGCTTACTGTCTCTTATCCCACACTCTTGTCATCACCACTATTGCTTTTTAATTAATACATATTCATCAATTGCCTGGAAACTTGAAACATCTCTAGATGCTAAAAAGTATAAATGTAGAATATTAGATTGATATTAAAATAATCTTATTATATAACATTAAGCTGTTGGTTACTGCTGATTATTGAAATTTACATGTTTAATGATATTTCTTTAATTTGGACCCTGGCTTAATATATACATACTTTCTTTTGTAAATTTTATTGGTCACAATATGTTGGTCATATTGTAAAAAGATGTTCTGTTCATCTAATGCCGCAAGACTGCATTATATTAAGTTTTTTCCATATTGTATCAGCTAGGGTTCAATCAGGAGACAGATCACACAGCTTCCCCGATTTGAGCATTGCAAATTTACATAAAATTATTAATTATATCGAGGGATTAACTATAAAGAAGTAAAGAATGCCCTGTGACTGAGAAACGAGTATCTAAGAAGGGAACACATTTGGGAGCTGGGCTCCCTTCCCAAGGCTGAGATTCCAATATCTTGGAGAAAGTGTAGTTGCTGCCCATTGGATGGTGGAGAAGTTCACTGGGTAGTCTTGGGCCAGAACTAGTTCATGGTAGCTGGATAGAAGCTGCCACACAAGAAACCTGTCTGGGACTGGCCAGCCAGGAGGCTTTTGCTGGAATACTGGTGGGCTTAGGCTGGTAAATGAGGAACTGTAGCCTGGACTGGCAAGCAGGAAATAACCCTCTAGGGTGCAGGTGGACCAAGGCTACCCCATTATCGATAGGCAGTTTTGGAAACCTGATTGTTGGAGTATCTGTGTGACTTATTGGAATCTCCCTGCACCACTGAAACTCGATGGGAAATTGTCCATGAAGTTGTCAGTGAAACTCAATGGAAGTGAGCACCTCTGAATGTCTCTCCCTCCCCCTGCCCGGCCCAGCCAAACACACATGCTGCTGGAAGCTACAGAGAGCAAGATGAAAACAGAAACGTATTTAAATCAGGAAGAGATGCCCCTTTTGATTCTCTATATTGACAAATCTTAACATCAAAGCAGACTAGGTGCAGAGGATAAATTCCTACAGGGCTTATTTTCATTAATATGCACAGGAAATGAAGGTTGTATTTGGAGCTGAGAGGCAATACATTGATAACTAGCACCCAAATTTTATTCTTAATTCTTATAATACATTTTACAGGATATTGAAGTGCATATATATGGCATGATTTGACCAAACCTCAAGTTAGTGGCAGAATGAGACATAAATTGAGATATGGTTCCTTATTCTACATAATTTGCTGGTAGTAGGTAGCTGCAACTATTTTTTTTATTGTAAAGCCTAAAAATGAAAATAAAACATATATTAAAAATTCTGTATTACCTAATGTTATAATTTCATTTAATTTTACTATTAGTTATGCACTGGTATCTGATTAATCCTTTCACTGAAGATATACAGACAGAGGGTGAACAATTACTCGGAAGTGGTCTTGTAGAAAAAACTTAAACATTATTGTTATTTAAACTTTTTTTTTGAGACAGAGTCTCACTCTGCTGCCAAGGATGGAGTGCAGTGGTGTGATTTGGATTCAACACAACCTCCACCTCCTGGGTTAAAGCGATTCTCCTGCCTCAGCCTCCTGAGTAGCTGAAACTACAGGTGGGTGCTACCATGCCTGGATAATTTTTATATTTTTAGTAGAGACAAGGTTTCACCACGTTGGCCATGGTGGTCTCGAACTCCCAACCTCAGGTGATCTGCCCACCTCGGCTTCCCAAAGTGCTGGGATTACAAAGTGAGGCATGTGCCTGGCTTATTTAAACTTTTAACTGAATTTTCATGATTTGGCAATTGTTATACTCTTCAAAGCATGAAGGATCTAGTTTTTGCTCCTTTGTCAAAAGGTATATGATGGGTCACTAGGCATTAGACTGGTACCAGAATGGGAACAGGAATGTGTAGAAAGATAAAGTTATGAGAAAACTGGAAATATATAGCATCCAGGGACACAACCAGAATTGATATCCAAGGGCGACTGAAACTTCAATCTGGCAGGAAGGCAAAATCACACATAAGTCACCAAGACAGGTACCTGGCATGAAGATACTCAAGAAATTTTAGAGTGGTGAGTAGAAGATGGATGCAGCAGAGATTCCTGGGACACAATTCTAGAGTGTCTTTTGACTCATTCTAGAGTAAAGAAATTAATAAAGATGACTAGACAGTTTGGATAGAAAATTGTCAGTGAAACTGGTAATACTTGTTAAAACTTTCATAAGTGTTCCCCACTGAGCATGTACAGGTAGTCTTAGAGAGGATCATTAGGTAAACAGCCTTAATAAAGATGACTTATATGCATAGTGCACTTCACTGTTTATGTTAGTTTAACTTTTTTCCACGCAATTCTATTTCCTACTACTACTCATGTAATAAAAAAGATTAAAAGCTGTTATCAGAGATATCTCATTCTCCATTCCCATTTGTATCCCTGAATCTGTGTTCCTGAGACCACTATGCCTCAACCTCCAGCTCTACCTTCCACATCCAGCTCATTCCTGAATGATTTTATACTTTGACTTAGCATTAATAATTCCATCAACTGTCATAGATAAGCCAAACTTCACTTAACATATTATGCTTTTCTTGAACAGTTTGGATTTAGGAAGATATTAATCACAAATATTAGTAATTTTTTTCTTGGTATAATCCATTGTATGTGTTTTTTAATTTTTTTTCCCATAAGTTATTGGGGTGCAGGTGGTATTTGGTTACATGATAAGTTCTTTAGTGGAGTTTTGTGAGATCCTAGTGCACCAATCACCCGAGCAGTATATACTGCCTCATATTTGTTGTCATTTATCCCTCGACCCCCTCCCACTCTTCTCCCCAAGTCCCCAAAATCTATTGTATCATTCTTATGCCTTTGCATCCTCATAGCTTAGCTCCCACATATCAGTGAGAATATACAATGTTTGGTTTTCCATTCCTGAGTTACTTCACTTAGAATAATAAGACAAATATTAGTATCTGTACAATAAAAAATCAACTATGTATTATAAAATCATTATATCATACCATTTAATTTCTAATATTTCTTTGCTTTATTGAAGTAATACTGACTAACAAAAATTGCATATATTTAAGATATGCAATGTGATGTTTTGATATATGTATACACAGTAAAATGATTACCATAATCAAGCTAGTTGACATAGCTCTCACCTCACATAGGTACTATTTTTTTTTGTAAGATTTAAGATCTATTCTCTTAGTAAATTTCAAGTATACATTACATTATTATTATTCAGTATAATCACCAGGATGTTCATTTCATCTTCAGGACTTTATTCAGTTTGTTTAACTGAAATGTTGTACTTTTAGACCAACATCTCCCCATTATGCCCATTCCCCCAACCCCTGTCTACCACTTTTCTGCCTCTATGCCTTGCCTCCAGGTCTTGTTTCTGATGACAGGTCCTAGGATTACCTATGTGTGTAATATTTATTACTACATTGAGACTTGAACATCATTCAATGTATTCAAAACCTCATTAATCTTCTCTCTCTTCCTTCCATCCAGTGATCTAAGCCAGGGCCCAAGTTTCATCTGTGACTTCTCTCTCTCTAATCTTCATCCTATATCAAGTTCTTTTGTTTAGAATTCAAAAATATTCTTCGAAACCTTCTATATCTCTCCATGTTAATTTGATTTCTCTAGGCTCAGAGGATGATATGGGAATTTTAATAAACGTGATTTATAAGGGGAAAAGACTGAAGGAAACATACAATAGTAGGGGAAGGAAGGATGTGGTCTCAACTAATCTGTCTCTAGCCTGGAGCCCCGGGAGCTCTGAGGTATACATTGTACTACAGAACTGCTTCCACCTTGAGACAAAGGAACTAACCTCTTAAACCCTATTCCAGTCAATCATCGCTGGTGGGCTCCGGGAGAGGGAACAAAATACCCTAAGTGATGCAGCTCCCATTTTATCTGGTGCAATTGTCCAGAAAAGGGCAAGGCTGTGAGCTGTTGGCAGCCCACACCCACAGTAGCTGGGGCACTTGTGCACTGGCCTGGTGAAGGGGATTTGAGCTGGACACAATAGTGTCCACCACATTCTGCGTCCTTACTGGCAACACCAGGGCTGAGGCCTCCAGCCTTTCACACTGAAATAATTACAATAACCCCTAGGTGCTCTCCTGCTTCCAGTCTTGATCCATCAATCCATTGTACATACTGTAGTTAGGATTATCATTATAAAATTAAAATCTAACTGCATTACTCACTAGCTTAAATATACTTTCCCTGTTTCTCCCATAGTCATTAGTGTTAAGTCTTAACACAACTATAAGCACCTTCTTGATATTCTCTTTTCCTATCTCTCTAGCTTCATATCTTACAATTTACAAGACTTTATAAGCTCAGTGTCTCTCATGGTGGCTGGCACGCAAGTTGGGGGTTCAGTAAATAATTGCTGAATGAATGAGCAAATTAATAATCATGGCCATACTGCACTGACTAGGTTTCCTGCATACTCTTTTCACCTCCTGGCCTTTGTTATGTATTCTCTCTCCTACAAGCACTGCTCTCACCTTCATGCATATTCATTCTGCTGACTCCTTTTCTTTTCTTTTTTCTTTTCTTTTCTTTTCTTTTTTGAGACATAGTCTTGCACTGTCACCCAGGCTGGAGTGCAATGGCATGATCTCAGCTCACTTCAACCTCTGCCTCTCAGGTTCAAACAATTCTCCTGCCTCAGCCTCCCAAGTAGCTGGGATTACAGGTGCCTGCCCCCACGCTGAGCTAATTTTTGTATTTTTAGTAGAGATGGGGTTTCACCATGTTGGCCAGGCTGGTCTCGAACTCCTGACCTCGTGGTCTGCCTGCCTCGGCCTCCCAAAGTGCTGGGATTACAGGCGTGAGCCACTGTGTCTGGCCCCCATTCTGCTGACTCCTTTTCATCCTTCTGGTCATATTTTTGATATCTTTTCATCTAGGAATCCTTTTTTTTTTTTTTTTTTTTTTTTTTTTTTTTTTTTTTTTGAGACGGAGTCTCGCTCTGTCGCCCAGGCCAGACTGCGGACTGCAGTGGCGCAATCTCGGCTCACTGCAAGCTCCGCTTCCCGGGTTCACGCCATTCTCCTGCCTCAGCCTCCTGAGTAGCTGGGACTACAGGCGCCCACCACCGCGCCCGGCTAATTTTTTGTATTTTTAGTAGAGACGGGGTTTCACCTTGTTAGCCAGGATGGTCTCGATCTCCTGACCTCATGATCCACCCGCCTCGGCCTCCCAAAGTGCTGGGATTACAGGCGTGAGCCACTGCGCCCGGCCTAGGAATCCTTTTATAACCCCTCAGGTCTATGTCTATTCAGATAATTCAATGTTAAATCACAGTTGTTAAAAAACTGTACACATTAAATGTGTAGTTTTTGGTATATCAGTTATAATTCAATAAAGAAAGTTTTCTTATGAGTATAAATCTTTTTATCTGGCCTAAGTCTCAAAAATTTTCACAGAAAACCTGGGACTTGAATTAAAATCGATTCACTGGAAACACCATGAAGAATTGATTATGTATAGCTCTGGTTCCACAGTGCAAGAGGCAAAAGGTGTGGAGGAAACAGTTATGTATGGATCACTTTGCCTGTGATTAATCTTGCTGTGGATGAGTGAACAAGAAAAACATTTCTGTCTTGTACTGCATGAATATTTAAAGAGGTTTCCGTAAAGATTCAGGGATCTTATTTTATAGCTGCTGCTTTCTCTCCTAGGAATTAATTATCTCCTTTGATGGAAAAACTTTGCCACAGAAGTAGTATTCTGGAGAGACAAGTTTGGGAATAATAAAACAAAACAAAACAATTCCTGAATGAGGAATTTCATTCTTTATACTTGGAACCTAATCCTATGAGTCCTCTTTCTCTATCTGAACCTGTGTTGTTAAGAATGCTGAATGCTGTGTGAGTAGCAAGGTAGTGTAACTTGTATGTGGACCTGTGATGTAGTTTCTTTGTTGATTCACGTCACAGGAGGCTTCTTTTTTTAAAAAATCAACATTACACCTTTTTATGGAAACCTGCTAATGGTTGCTTGAGATCTAGAGCAGTGAGGGCATGAAACTAATTGTGGCCATTTAATTAATTTTAATTTTTAAATTTAAAAATATTTAATTGACAAAGATGTTATGTGTCCAAGGTGGACAAAATGTTGATTTGATCGATGTGTACATTGTGTAATAGTTATTACAGAAAATTAACACATACATTACTAATCATGCTATACATGAGATCCTCAGAACCTGTTCATCTTATAGATGAAAGATTGTTCTCTTTGATAAATATAGTCCCATATCCCTCATCTGCCAGGCCCTGGCAACCATCATTCTACCATCATTCTCTCTGTTTCTATGAATATGACTCTTTAGATTCTGCATATAAGTGAGATTATACAGCGTTTGACTTTCTATGTCTGGCTTATTTCACTTAGTACAGTGTCCTGTAGGTTTTTCCACATTGTCACAAATGGCAAGATTTCCTTAAGATCAAAACAATTTCTTGTAGAATTTTTATAGATTTAGCATGTGGATCTCTAACTCATTTTAAGGTTATTTGTGTGTGTGTGTGCATTATATGAGGTAATGGCTGAAGTTTTTTTTTTCTTATGGGTATCCAATTGACTCAGCATAATTTGTTGAAAAATATTGAGTTGCCTTGGCATTCCTTTAAAAATTTATATATTTAGATGTATTTTTGGACATTCTATTATATTTTAGTGAGCTATATTTTTATCCTATGCCAATACCAAACAGTATTGATACTGGTACATTATACTAAATCTTGAAATTAGGTAGAGTGTAAATTTCAGGATAAGCTTGTCAACATCTCCAAAAATTCTGATTGGAATTGCATTGAAAATATAGAATGATATGGTAAAAGAATTATTAAGTTTTCTAATTTATTATTATCATATATCTCTCCATTTATTTATGTATTTAATTTCTCTGACCAGGGTTTTCTACTTTTCATATACAGGTCTTGAATTGATTGTTATAATTTACTCCTCAAATTCCATGTTTTAAAATAATGTTTTATATAGTATTTTGCTTCTAATTTCAATTTCTAATTGTTTGTTGCTACTGTAGAAGTACAACTGATTTTTAAAATATTGACATTATATCCTGTTACTTTGCTAAACTCACTGATTAGTCCTATTAGTTTTTTGTAGAATACTTTAAATTTTCTACCTACATGATTATGTCATCTGCAAATAAATGTATTTTTATAATTTTGTTTCTTCTTTTGCAATCTCTGTGTCTTTTATTTCTTTTTCTTATATTTTTGCAGTGGCTGAAACCTAGGGTACATTACTAGACCTAGGTTTCGTAGCTGAATGGAAGTGATGAGTGGACATCCTTGTCTTGTTCCCAATCTTAGAGGGATAGTGTTCATCATTAAGTGGAATCTGTAAGGCTATATGCTCTTTCATTATTGACATGAGTTGTCTTTTCTCTCTCTCCTCCCTTACTTCTTTCCATCTTTTGCTCCTTCACATTAATCTAGCTAATTGTTTATCAATTTTATTGTTCTTTTAAAATAATCAGATATTTGTTAAATTGATTTTTCTATTTTTAAAATTTACATTTCATTGATTCTTGTTCTAATCCTTATTATTTCCTATCTTCTACTTAGTTTCTGCTTAATTTGTTGTTATTTTTTGTGTCTGTAGTACAAAACTTTTGATGTTTGTTTTCAGACATTATTTTATTTATTTATTTATTTATTTATTTATTTATTTATTTATTTATTTATTTTGAGATGGAGTCTTGCTGTGTCGCCCAGGCTAGAGTGCAGTGACGTGATCTTGGCTCACTGCAACCTCCACCTCCCAGGGCCAAGTGATTCTCTTGCCTCAGCCTCTGGAGTAGCTGGGATTACAGGCGCCCACCACCACGCCTGGCTAATATTTGTATTTTTAGTACAGATGGAGTTTCACCATGTTGGTCTTAAACTCCTGACCTTGTGATCCACCCACCTCAGCCTCCCAAAGTGCTGGGATTACAGGTGTGAACCACTGCGCCTGGCCTATTTATTTTTAATATATGCATTTTGTGACCCAAATTTTCTTTTTAGAACTTTTGTTACTTTCCTGAAATTCAGATACGTTGTGCTTTAAATTTCATTTATTTCAAAATATCTTTTGTGTTGTGATTTCTTTAATTAACCTAAAAATTACACGAAAAAATTCATTCTTTGACTATTTAAAAATGTGTAATCAATTGGCTTTGGGTACAATCACAATGTTTTACAATAATTACAACTATCTAATTGCAGAAGATTTTCATCACCTCCTAATAGTTGAACAGTTGTTCCTATTTCCCCTTTTCCCAGTCCGTGGTAACCAGTAATCTGCTTTTTGTTCCTATTAATTTGCTTATTTTAGACATTTTATATACATAGAATTATGCAATTTTCAACCTTTAGTGTCTTCTTTCACTTAGTATGCTTTCAAGATTCATCCATGTTGTAGCATGCATCAGTACTTTATTGTGGACATACCAAAATTTGGTTATCCACTCATACAGACTGATAGAAATTTAGGTTGTCTTCACAATTGTGAGTGGTGCTGCTATAAACTCTTATGTACAAGTTTGTTCAAACACCTGTTTTTAATTCTTTTGGGTATATAACATAGGAGTGGAATTGCTGGGTCAGGTGGTCATTCTATGTTGAACTTTTTAAAGAACAACCAAACAGTTTTTCACAGATCCATAGATTTTACATTTCACATTTCCATTAGTAATGTACTAGATTTCCAATTATTCAATATTCTTGCCACACTGGTTAATTGCCATTTAAAAAAATTATGGCCATCCACTGGGTGTGAAGTGGTATTTCATTTCAATGTTGATTTACATTTCCCTAATGACCAATGATGTTTAGCATATTTTTATATGCTTATTAGCTATATGTATATCTTATATGGGAAAATGTCTTTTTCAAATTCTTTGTGTATTTTCAAATTGGGTTGTTTACCTTTTTTTTTCAGTTGTGACAGTTCTTTTTGTATTCTGGAAACAATACTCATCAGATATACGATTTGCAAATATTTCTCCTATTCTTTGGGTTGATTTTCACTTTTTTGATAGTGTACTTAGATTCAGAATCATTTTTAATTTTGATAAAGTCCAATTTATGTATTTTGAAATTTGGGAACTGTGCTTTTACCATTTTATCAAGATTAGGATAGATAGTGACATTTATTTTCACATGCTATTCTTGTTTTACCCCAAATAATAGCCAGATAAGTGAATTGATCTTGTTTTATAATTTGTTATGCTTTGTTTTTCATTTTTTCAAAATCTTTATTTAAAATGTGGAGAGAATAAAATAATAGCAATATCCTGTCTCCAAATCCATGAACATGGAATATCTCTCTATTTATTTAGATATTTTTAAATTGCTTTTACCAATGTTTTCTAGTTGTACATTTAAAACATATTTTGAACTTTTAGATAAAAGATAAAAACAATAGATGCTGTTGAAGCTGCAGAGAAAAGGGAACACTTACATAATGTTGGTGGGAATGTAAATTAGCTCAGCTACTTTGGAGAGTGGTTTGGAGATTTCTCAAAGAACTGTTGTTGTTTTTTTTTAATAGATATTAAGGGTACATGGGCAGGTTTGTTCCATGGATATATTGTGTAGTGGTGAAGTCTGGGCTTTAAGTGTACTCATTTCCTGCATAGTGAACATTGTACCCAGTAGGTAACTTTTCAGCCTTCACCATTCTCCCACCCTCCCAACTTTTGGAGTTTCCAATGTCTACTTTTTCACCCTGTATGTCCATGTATGCCATTGTTTAGCTCTCACTGAAAGTGAGAACATCTACACTCATAAGTAAGAGTTGAACAATGAGAACACATGGACACAGGGAGGGGAACATCACACACCAGGGCCTGTTGGGGGGTTGGGGATTAAGGGAGGAACAGCATTAGGAGAAACACCTAATGTAGACGATGGGTTGATGGGTGCAGCAAACCACCATGGCATGTGTATACCTGTGTAACAAACCTGCACATTCTGCACATGCATCCCAGAACTTGAAGTATAATAATAACAAAAAAACTAAATAAAAACTTGCTGATTAATTACTTTAAAAAATGAGAACATGTAGCATTTGGCTTTCTGTTCCTGGGTTATGCAACTTAGAATAATGTCCACCAGTTCCATCCACATTGCTGCAAAAGACAAGATTGCATTTTTTTATGGCTGAGTACTATTCCATGGTGTGTGTGTGCGTGTGTGTGTGTGTGTGTGTGTGTGTTTGTATATATATCTCACATTTGTGATATCTATCTATATATCTCACATTTTCTTTATCCATCATCTGTTGATGGTTGATTCCATGTCTTTACTATTGTGAATAGTGCTGCTAAAAACGTAGTGCAGGTATCATTTTGATAGAATGATGTCTTTTTCTTTGGGTGGATACCCAGTATTGGGATTGCTGTATCAAAGGGCAGTACTACTTTTAGTTCTTTGATAAATCTCCCTCTGTTTTTCATGCAGGTTTTATTAATTTTATTCCTAGCAATAGTGTATATTACCTGTTGTTTTTGACTTTTTAATAATAGCCATTCTGACTGCTGTAAGATGGAATTTCATTGTGGCTTTAATTTATATTTCTCTGATGATCAGTGGTGTTAAGCACTTTTTCTTGTGTGTTGGCTGCTTGTATGTCTTTTTTTTTTTTGGAAAAATGCCTGTTTATGTCCTTTTCCCACTTTTAAATGGGATTATTATTATTATTTTTCTTATTTGAGTTCCTTGTAGATTCTTGATACTATCCTTTTGTCAGATGCTTAATTTGCAAATATTTTCTCCAAGTTTTAAATTGTTTATTCTGTTAATTATTTTGCTGTGCAGAAGCTATTTAATTTTATTAAGTCCCATTTATCTATTTTTGTTGTGTTTAATTTTGAGGACTTGGTCATAATTTTTTTGCCTAGGCCAATGTCCAGAAGAGCTTTTCTTAGGTTTTCTTCTATGATCTTTATAGTTTCAGGTCTTACACTTAAGTCTTTTTATCCATCTTGTGTTAATTTTCTTACATAGTGAGAGATATGGGTCCATATTTATTCTTCTGTATATGGCTATCCACTTTTCCCAGCATCATTTATTGAATAGGGTGTCCTTCCCTCAGTGCATATTTTTATCACCTTTGTTGAAAATCAGTTGGTTATAGGTAAGTGGCTTTATTTCTGGGTTCTCTATTCTGTTCCATTGATCTATGTGTCTATTTTATATCAGTGCCATGCTGTTTTAGTTATTATAGACTTGGAGTATAATTTAAAATCAGGTAATGTAATGCCTCCAGCTTTGTTCTTTTTGCTTAGGATTGCCTTGGCTATTCAGGGTCATTTTTAGTTCCATATGAATTCTAGGATTTTTCCCAATTCTGTGAAAAATGGCATTGGTAATTTGATAGAAACTGCATTGAATCTATAGATTGCTTGCCACCTTAACAGTATTTAGTCTACAATCCATGAGCATAGGATTTTTGTTTGTTTGTTTGTGTCATCTATGATTGTGTCATCAGTGTTTTGTAATTCTCCTTGTAGAGATCTTTCACCTCCGTGGTTAAGTTTATTTGTATGTATTTTATTCTTTTTGCAGCTATTGTAAATAGGATTCACTTCTTGATTTAGTTCTCAGCATGATTGTTATTGGTATATAAAAATGCTACTGATTTTTGCATGTCAATTTTGTATCCTGAAACATTAATGAAGTCACTTGTGAGATCTAGGAGTCTTTTGGAGAAGTTTTTTTATTTTTGTTTTGTTTTTTGTTTTTTGGTATAAGATCATATTATCAGTCAACAGAAATAATTTAACTTCCTATTTTCCAATTTGGATAAGTTTTATTTCTCTTTCTAGCTATGACTTCTAGTACCAACTATATTGAGTAGGAGTGTTGAAAGTGGGCATCCTTGTCTTGTTGCAGTTCTTAAAGGGGAATGCTTTAAACAGTATCCCATCCAGTGTACTGTTGGCTGTGTGTTTGTTGAATATAATTTTTATTATTTTGAATTTTGTTCAACCAATTTTTTTCCTTTTTTGTTTCCTTTTATGGCTGCATAGTATGCCATGGTGTATATGTGCCACATTTTCTTAATCCAGTCTATCATTGTTGGACATTTGGGTTGGTTCCAAGTCTTTGCTATTGTGAATAATGTCACAATAAACATACATGTGCATGTGTCTTTATAGCAGCATGATTTATAATCCTTTGGGTATATACCCAGTAATGGGATGGCTGGGTCAAATAGTATTTCTAGTTCTAGATCCCTGAGGAATCACCACACTGACTTCCACAATGGTTGAACTGGTTTACAATCCCACCAACAGTGTAAAAATGTTCCTATTTCTCCACATCCTCTCCAGCACCTGTTGTTTCCTGATTTTTAATGATCACCATTCTAACTGGTGTGAGATGGTATCTCATTGTGGTTTTGATTTGCATCTCTCTGATGGCCAGTGATGATGAGCATTTTTTCATGTGTCTTTTGGCTGCATAAATGTCTTCTTTTGAAAAGTGTTTGTTCCTATACTTTGCCCACTTTTTGATGGCGTTGTTTGTTTTTTTCTTGTCAATTTGTTTGAGTTCATTGTAGATTCTGGATATTAGCCCTTTGTCAGATGAGAAGATTGCAAAAATGTTCTCCCATTCTGTAGGTTGTCTGTTCACTCTGATGGTAGTTTCTTTTGCTGTGCAGAAGCTCTTTAGTTTAATTAGATCCCATTTGTCAATTTTGGCTTTTGTTGTCATTGCTTTTGGTGTTTCAGACATGAAGTCCTTGCCCATGCCTATGTCCCGAGTGGTATTGCTTAGGTTTTCTTCTAGGGTTTTAATGGTTTAAAGTCTAACATTTAAGTCTTTAATCCATCTTGAATTAATTTTAATATAAGGTGTGAGGAAGGAATCCAGTTTCAGCTTTATGCATATGGCTAGCCAGTTTTCCCAACACCATTTATTAAATAGGGAATCGTTTCCCCATTTCTTGTTTTTGTCAGGTTTGTCAAAGATCAGGGAGTTGTAGATGTGTGGCATTATTTCTGAGGGTTCTGTTCTGTTCCATTGGTCTATATGTCTGTTTTGGTACCAGTACCATACTGTTTTGGTTACTGTAGCCTTGTAGCATAGTTTGAAGTCAGGTAACATGATGCCTCTAGCTTTGTTCTTTTGGCTTAGGATTTTCATGGCAATGCAGGCTCTTTTTTGGTTCCATATGAGCTTTAAAGTAGTTTTTTCCAATTATGAGAAAGTCATTGGTAGGTTGATGGGGATGGCATTGAATCTATAAATTACCTTGGACACTATGACCATTTTCACAATATTGATTCTTCCTATCCATGAGCATAGAATATTCTTCCATTTGTTTGTATCCTCTTTTATTTCATTGAGCAGTGGTTTGTAGTTCTCCTTGAAGAGGTCCTTCATGTCCCTTGTAAGTTGGATTCCTAGGTATTTTATTCTCTTTCTAGCAATTGTGAATGGGAGTTCACTCATGATTTGTCTCTCTGTCTGTTATTGGTGTGTAAGAATGCTTGTGATTTTTGCACGTTGATTTTGTAACCTGAGACTTTGCTGAAGTTGCTTATCAGCTTAAGGAGATTTTGGGTTTAGACTATGGGGTTTTCTAGATATACAATCATGTCATCTGCAAACAGGGACAATTTGACTTCCTCTTTTCCTAATTGAATACCCTTTATTTCCTTCTCCTGCTTGATTGTCCTGGCCAGTAATTACAACAGTATGTTGAATAGAAGTGGTGAAAGAGAGCATCCCTGTCTTGTGCCAGTTTTCAAAGGGAATGCTTCCGGTTTTTGCCCATTTAGTATGATATTGGCTGTAGGTTTGTCATAAATAGTTCTTATTATTTTGGGATACATCCCATCAGTACCTAATTTATTGAGAGATTTTAGCATGAAGGGCTGGTGAATTTTGTCAAAGGCCTTTTCTGCATCTATTGAGGTAATCATGTGGTTTTTGTCATTGGTTCTGTTTATATGCTGGATGACATTTATTGATTTATGTATGTTGAACCAGTCTTGCATCCGAGGGATGAAACCCACTTGATCATGGTGGACAAGCTTTTTGTTGTGCTGCTGGATTCAGTTTGCCAGTATTTTATTGAGGATTTTTGCATCAATGTTCATCAGGGATATTGGTCTAAAATTCTCTTTTTTTATTGTGTCTCTGCCAGGCTTTGGTATCAGGATGATGCTGGCCTCATAAAATGAGTTAGGGAGGACTCCCTTTTTTTCTATTGATTGGAATAGTTTCAGAAGAAATGGCACCAACTCCTCCTTGTACCTCTGGTAGAATTTGGCTGTGAATCCATCTGTTCCTGGACTTTTTTTGGTTGGTAAGCTATTAATTATTGCCTCAATTTCAGAGCCTGTTACTGGTCTATTCAGACATTCAACTTCTTCCTGGTTTAGTCTTGGGAGGTTGTATGTGTCAAGGAATTTATCCATTTCTACTAGATTTTCTAGTTTATTTGCATAGAGGTGTTTATAGTATGCTCTGATGGTAGTTTGTATTTCTGTGAGATTGGTGGTGATATCCCCTTTATCTTTGTTTATTGCATGTATTTTATTCTTCTCTCTTTTCTTCCTTATTAGTCTTGCTAGTGGTCTATCAATTTTGTTGATCTTTTCTAAAAAACCAGCTCCTGGATTCATTGATTTTTTGAAGGGTTTTTTGTGTCTCTATTTCCTTCACTTCTGCTCTGATCTTAGTTATTTCTTGCCTTCTCCTAGCTTTTGAATGTATTTGCTTTTGCTTCTCTAGTTCTTTTAATTGTGATGTTAGGTTGTCAGTTTTAGATCTTTCCTGCTTTCTCTTGTGGGCATTTAGTGCTATAAATTTCCCTCTACACACTGCTTTGAATGTGTCCCAGGGATTCTGGTATGTTGTGTCTTTGCTCTCATTGGTTTCAAAAAACATCTTTATTTCTGCCTTCATTTCTTTATGTACCTGGTAGTCATTCAGGAGCAGGTTGTTGGGTTTCCATGTAGTTGAGTGGTTTTGAATGAGTTTCTTAATCCTGAGTTCTAGTTTGATTGCACTGTGGTCTGAGAGACAGTTTGTTATAATTTCTGTTGTTTTACGTTTGCTGAGGAGTGCTTTACTTCCAACTATGTGGTCAATTTTGGAATAAGTGCTATGTGGTGCTGAGAAGAATGTATATTCTGTTGATTTGGGGTGGAGACTGAACAGAGAGTTACCCACATATTTATAAACAGCTAACAAGTCATTAGCACTGTTTCTATAGATATTAAATTAACTGAAAGTATCCCTTATGGGAAACGAAGGGGTGGGCCGAATTAAAGGAATAGGTTGGGCTTGTTAACTGCAGCAGAAGCATGTCTTTAAGGCATAGATTGCTCATACTATTGTTTGTGGCTTAAGAATGTCTTTAAGTGGTTTTCCACCCTGGGCGGGCCAGGTGTTCTTTGCCCTCATTCCTGTAAACCCACAACCTTCCAGCTTGGGCATTAGGGCCATTATCAACATGTTACAGTGCTGCAGAGATTTTGTTTATGGCCAGTTTTGGGGCCAATTTATGGCCAGATTTTTGGGGGCCTGCTCCCAACAATGCAGTGTTTGGTTTTCTCTTCTTGTGTTACTCTGCTGAGAATGATGGTTTCCAGTTTCATCCATGTCCCTGCGAAGGACATTAACTCATCCTTTTTTATGGCTGCATAGTATTCCATGGAGTATATGTGCCACATTTTCTTTATCGAGTCTACCATTGATGGGCATTTGGGTTGGTTCTAAGTCTTTACTGTTGTGAACAGTGCTGCAATAAACATACTTGTGCATGTGTCTTTATAGTAGAAAGATTTATAATCTTTTAGGTATATACCCAGCAATGGGATTGCTGGGTCAAATGGTATTTCTAGTTCTAGATCCTTGAGGAATTGCCACACTGTCTTCCACAATTGTTGAACTAATTTACATTCCCACCAACAGTGTAAAAGCGTTCCTATTTCACCACTGGGTTGTAAATTTTTTTCTTTAAGAATGTTGAATATTGGCTCCCACCCTCTTCTGGCTTGTAGGGTTTCTGCAGAGAGATCTGCTGTTAGTCTGATGGGCTGTTCTTTGTGGGTAACCTGACTTTTACCTCTGGCTGCCATTAACACTTTTTCCTTCATTTCAACCTTGGTGAATCTGACGATTATGTGTCTTTGGGTTGCTCTTCTTGAGGAATATCTTTGTGGTGTTCTCTGTATTTCCTGAATTTGGATGTTGGCCTGCCTTGCTAGGTTGGGGAAGTTCTTCTGGATAATATCCTGAGGAGTGTTTTCCAACTTGGTTCCATTCTCCCCATCACTTTCAGGTACACCAACCAAGCATAGAATTGGTATTTTCACATAGTCCCATATTTCTTGGAGGCTTTGTTCATTTCGTTTCACTCTTTTTTCTCTAATCTTGTCTTCTTGCTTTATTTCATTAAGTTGATCTTCAATCACTGATATCCTTTTTTCCACTTGATTGATTCAGGTATTGAAACTTGTGTATGCTTCACAAAGATCTTGTGCTGTGTTTTTCAGCTCCATCAGGTCATTTAAGCTCTTCTCTACATTTGTTATTCCAGTTAGCCATTCCTCTAACCTTTTTTCAAGTTTTTTAGCTTCCTTGCATTGGCTTAGAACATGCTTGTTTAGCTTGGAGGAGTATGTTATTACCCACCTTCTGAAGCCTACTTCTGTCAATTTGTCAAACATATTCAAACTCCATCCAGCTTTGTTCCCTTGTTTACGAGAAGTTGTGTTCCTTTGGAGGAGAAGAGGCATTCTGATTTTTGGAATTTTCAGCCTTTCTGCACTGGTTTCTCCCCATCTTTGTGGTTTTATCTACCTTTGGTCTTTGATGTTGGTGACCTACGGATGGGGTTTTGGTGTGGATGTCCTTTTTGTTGATGTTGATGGTATTCCTTTCTGTTTGTCAGTTTTCCTTCTAACAGCCAGGACCCTCAGCTACAGGTCTGTTGGAGTTTGCTGGAGGTCCACTTTGGACCCTGTTTTCCTCAGTATCACCAGCAGAAGCTGCAGAACAGCAACTATTGCTGCCTGATCCTTCCTCTGGAAGCTTAGTCCCAGAGGGTCACTCACCAGATGCCAGCAAAAGTTCTCCTGTATGAGGTGACTGTTGGCCCCTACTGGGAGATGTCTTCCAGTCAGGCTACACTGGGGTCAGGGACCCACTTGAGGAAGCAGTCTGTCCATTATCAGAGCTCAAAGGCTGAGCTGGCAGAACCACTGCTATCTTCAGAGCTGTCATGCAGAGATGTTTAAGTCTGCTGAAGCTGTGCCCCTGCTGTCCCTTCCCCCAGGTGCTCTGTCCCATGGAGATGGGGGTTTTATCTATAAGTCCCTGACTGAGGCTGCTGCCTTTTGTTCAATGATGCCCTGCCCACAGAGGTGGAATCTAGGAGGCAGTCCACCTTGCTGAGCTGTGGTGGGTTCTGCCCAGTTCAAACTTCCCAGCAGCTTTGTTTACACTGAAGCATAAAACCACCTACTCAAGCCTCAGCAATGGCAGGTGCCTGTCCCCCAACCAAGCTCAAGCATCCCAGGTCAATCTCATACTGCTGCACTAGCAGTGAGAATTTCAAGCCAATGGATCTTAGCTTGCTGGGCTCTGTGGGCCTGGGACCCACCAACCCAGGCACTGGAGGGAATCTCCTGGTCTGCCAGTTGCCAAGACCATGGGAAAAGCACAGTGTCTGGGCAGCAATGTACCATTCCTCCTGGTACAGTCTCTCACAGCTTCCCTTGGCTAGGAAAGGGAAGTTCCCTGACTCCTTGCACTTCTTGGGTGAGGCGACACCCTGCCCTGCTTTGGCTTGTCCTCTGTGGGCTGCACCCACTGTCCAACCAGTCCCAATGAGATGAACCAGGTACCACAGTTGGAAATGCAGAAATCACCTGCCTTCTGCATCGATCTCACTGGGAGCTGCAGACTGGAGCTGTTCTTATTCCACTGTACACCTTTTCTTAGGTCTAGTAGTATTTGTTTTATGTATCTGGGTGCTCTCATGTTGGGTGCTTATATATTTGTGATTGTTATAAGTTCTTCTTGAATTTATACCTTGTCATTAGATAACCTCTTTGTCTTTTTTTTACTGTTGTTTACTTCAAAGTCTGTTATATTTGATATAAATATCGCTACTCCCGCTCACTTTGGGTTTTTATTTGCATGGAATATATTTTCCCACACATTTACCTTGAGGCTGCAAATGGTCTTCAACAATTATGTGGGTTTGTAATAAGCAGCATCTGGTTGAATTGTTTATTTTTTATTTTTTTTTGAGATGGAGTCTCGCTCCATCTCCCAGTCTGGAGTGTTGTGGCACGATCTCCACTCACTGCAATCTCCACCTCGCAGGTTCAAGCGATTCTCCTACCTCAGCCTCCCAAGTAGCTGGGATTACAGATGTGTGCCACCACACTCAGATAATTTTTGTATTTTTAGTAGAAACAGGGTTTCACCATGTTGGACAGGCTGGTCTCAAACTCCTGACCTCAGGTGATCCACCTGCCTTGGCTTCCCAAAGTGCTGGGATTATAGGCATAAGCCACTGCACCTGGCCTGGATTTTTTTTTTAAATCCCTTCCACCAGTCTATATCCTTTAAGTGGAGCATTTAATCATTTACGTTCACAGTTGATATTGATATGTGAGTTTTTGTTCCTGTCATAATGGTAATTATTACCTAATGGCTTTGTAGTTTCAGTTGTGTAACTGCTTTATAAGACCTGTAAATTTTATACTTTTGTATGCTTTATGATGATGAATATGTTAGACCATTCTTACATAGCTGTAAAGGAATACCTGGGACAGGGTGATTTATAAACAAAAGAGGTTTAATTGGCTCACAGTTCTTCAGGCTGAACAAGCATGGCATTGGCATCTTCTTGACTTCTTGGGAGGTTTCAGGGAGCTTTTACTCATGGTGGAAGGTGAAGCAGGAGCAGGCATGTCATACGCCAGAGCAGGAGCAAAGTTGGGGGAAGATGCCACAGACTTTAACATAACCTGGTCTCATGAGAACTCACTATCACGAGGACATCACCAAGTCATGAGGGATACACCTTCATGACCCAAACACCTTTCATTAGACCCCACCTCCAACATTGGGGGTGACATTTCAACATAAGATTTGGGTGGGGACAAATATCAAAACTATATCATTCCACCCCATCCCCCCCAATCTCATGTTTTTATCATGCTGCAAAATACAATCATTCCTTCCCAAAAGTCCCCAAAGTCTTAATTCATTCCAGCATTAACTCAAAGTACCAAGTCCAAGTCCATAGTCTCATCTGGAGATTAGTTTCTTCCATCTTCAAGCCTGTAAAATCAAAACGGGTTATGTACTTCCAAGAAACAACAGTAGTACAGGCATTGGGTAAACATTCCCTTTATAAAAGGGAGAAATCAGCCAAAAGAAAGGAGCTATAGGCCCCATGCAATTTCAAAGCCCAGCAAGGCAGTCATTAAGCTTTAAAACTCCCAAATACTCTCCTTTGACTCTATGTCCCACATCCAGGGCACAGTGTTGTGAGGAGCGGGCTCCCAAAGCCTTGGGCTACTCTTCCCTGTGGCTTTTCCATGCTAAGGTTGCAAGCTCAAACATTCTGGGTTCTGGAGTGTAGCAGCTCCCTTCCTACAGCTCCACTAGTCTGTGCCCTAGTAGAGACTCTGTGTGGGGCCTCATTAGAGGTTCTCTGCAAGGGCTCCACCCCTGCAGCAGCCTTCTGCCTGGGCACCTAGGCTTTCTCGTGCATTTTCTGAAATGTAGATGGAGGCTGCCAAGCCACCTTCACTCTTGCACTCTGTGTACCAGCAGACTTAATACCACATGGAAGCTGCCAAAGCTTATGGCTTGTGCCCTCTAGAGTGGCAACCTGAGCTGTGCCAGGATCCCTTTGAGCTGTGGCAGAAGCTGGAGCAGCCTGGGATGTGGGGAGCAGTGTCCATTGCTAGAGACGTAGTGTGATCCTTTGGGTGTATTGCAACACTCTTTTTTTCTATGGTCCCAGAAATCTTAGGCTGGTTTCTTTTTGGATTTACTTTTGTTTGGATAGAACTTTATTCCCCTCTTGAGGGTGTGACTATAGGATATATTGTGTAGGGTCCTTTGACTTTGTTTCTGGGTACTTTCAGGGAGCCAAATCTATGAATTTTTTGATGATACATAGCCTTAGTGTAATGGTTTTCTCAAATACTATTGTTTGTATGTTGTAGCAGCAGTGGATTGGGCATGTGAGAAGGATCACTGCCTCCTGCAGAGATGAGCAGGGGGAAGTCTCTTATTTTATTCCCCAGCACTGTGCACTTCTGTCAGCAGAGATTGTATTGGGTTGTTTAGTTTTACCTCCAGGTCAGTAGGTGGCACTTGCAGATATGAGCCAGCTGAGCACTGTGCAGTTGTGTGGGCAGTTTAATAAGCTGTGAAGGTTGACTTCCAAACCAATATGTGGCATTTCCAGGAGAGAGGGAGCAGTGGGATTTTTCCTTGGATTTTGTTCATTACAGAAGCTCTGGGTGTCTCATGTAAGGGGTGGGGCCATGGAACTCCCAGGACTCCCTGTCCTATGCTCTGCTGCTGCAGTGGTTGGATGGGGCAAAGCCAGGCATGGCTGGGTCTGGGAAGTCCTGGACCAGGCTCTCCAAGGCTGGTGCAAGTGCTGATTCTGCTGGGGGTTTGGGGTCAGGTCTCAGGCTACCAGGGCAACCCTCCAGGAAGGGGCAGAGGCATTTCTGCTGCATCAAAGCACCTTTGTGCTAGGGGGAGGGGTGGCCATGAATCAGCAGCTGGAAGTGGCAGTGGGACCTGCTCTGCCCCCAAACCTCCAACCTCATGGGTTTCCCTACAGCCTTAGGCCACCAGCAGCTGGCCAGGACCACTAGGCCCATCCTAATCTGTCTGTGTTCAGATGGCAAAGCCTCCCCAGGCCATGAAACTCCCTGTCTGGGGCAGAAACTTTGGCTGTCAGGCCACATCCTTCCTGGTCTGGTCCTATGAAGGGAGGAGTACCCAGCTCCTGTGCCACGATATGAACCCACACCACACTCTCCTCTCACTTCTGACTGTGGGGGGCTCCAGGTCAGATCACAAGTCTCATCTCCATGCTCCTGGATGGCATGCTGGAATTGTGCAGGGATAGGACCAGGCCAACAGCCTTGTCTTCGGGATCCCTGGACTCAAGTGCTGGTGGTGATAGGCAGGGCAAGTTGGTCCCTGGCCACTAGAAAAACACTCATGTAGGGCAACAGTGGCTGCACTGTGGGTCTGCCACTTGGAAGGGTGGTCCTCTCTCCATAGGAATGGCTAGGCAGGCAGATTTGGGAGAGACTGGCAGGCATGAGGCATGTGGTCCAAATGACCTCAGTCCAACAGCAGAAGCAGTGGAACCTCTCCTCGAGGGATGTGAGAGCACCTGGCCTCCCCTCTCACTACCTGGCCCAGCAGCCAGTAGTGGCAGTGGCAGCCTCAGGACAGGACAGAGATCCATGGGGAATGGGCTCCCAGAATGGCACCATGCTGCAGCTGCCCAGTGCTTGGAAGCCTATGAGACTCCATGTAAGTTTGAGAAGCACCTCTGCACAATCTCCAGGCAGCTCTCTATGCCAGTCTGGAGGCTTATGGGGGTTGAGGGAATCTCCTGTATCTAGGATTGTAGAAGTCTGCAGCAGAAATGTGGAGCTCTGGGGTTCCTTCACTTACCCCTTCTTTGGGTCTGGGGCAGCTCTTGGCTCCTAGCAACCCCAAACAGGCAGCCCCATATCTCCTTCCTTCACCTTCTGTGTCTCCTGTTGCCTCTCTGTTGAATTCCAGTGCTCTTTCTCAGATGATCTATTTAAAGTGTGAATATCGACTCGATATTTTGGTTCCTCTCTGTGGAAGAGGTGCACCTCAGCCGAATCTAGTCAGTGATCTTGTAGTTGCATATTTTGTAATTGTAAATTTTTAATACCATGTAGCATCTCATAAATGTATTAGTTTTAATAGTTTATAAATTTTGATTTGCTACACCCACAAAATTATTGTATGCAAATAATGACAGTTTAAAATTTTTCCTAGTCATTTTTATCAATGGCACTTATTTCTTTTCTTTGCCTTATTGCACTGGTTAGATTCTCCAGCACAATGTGGAATATATGTAATTATAATGGATAGTTTTGCATTGTTCCTGACTCCCAGAGAAAGTTTTTAGTATTTTCTCATTAAGAACGATGTTGGCTGTAGGGTGTTTGTTAATAGGCTTTATCCTACTGAGGAAGTTCTATTCCTAGTTTTCTTAAACTTTTTAAAAATCATGAACATATGTTAAATCCTATCAAGTTTTTTCTCTATTTATTGAATTGATCATATTTTTTTCTACTTAATTTTGTTCATGCAGTGAATTATATGAATTGATTTTTTTTTTTTTTTTTGAGACAAGGTCTCACTCAGTTGCCCAGGCTGGAGGGCAGTGACACAATCACCAATCACTGCAGCCTTAACTTCCTGGGCTCAAGCGATCCTCCCACCTCAGCCTACCAAGTAGCTGGAACTATGGTGCATGCCGCCACACCCGGGTAATTAAAAATTTTTTGGTATAGATGGGGTTCTCAATATTTGCCCCAGCTGGTCTTGAACTCCTGAGATCAAGCGATCTGCCCACCTCAGCCTCCCAAAGTGCTGGGATTACAGGTGTGAGCCACTGCATGTGGCCATGAATTGATTTTGAATGTGAAATCAACATTTCATTCCTGGGACAAAACTTACTTGCTCGTGATACATTATTATTTTTATATATGGCTGTATTTTATTTGCTAAATATTGGGTTCAGAATTTTTGTGACTGTGTTAATGAGAGATATTTATCTGATATTTTTTCTTGTAATGCCCTTTTTCATTTTCTCTAATCCCTGAAAATGTTGATATAAAATTGGTAGTATTTTTTAAAAGTGATATGTA
>NW_025791794.1:0-122722 GCF_000001405.40 Homo sapiens | reverse complement strand
AGATTGTATTGGCTAGCCAGTTATCCCAGCACCATTTACTGAATAGGACATCCTTTACCAATTACTCATATTGTCAACTTTGTTAAAGATAAGATGGTTGTAGGCATGCAGCTTAATTTCTGAATTCTCTAACCTGTTCCATTGGTTTATGTGTCTAATTGTGTACCAGTACCATGCTGTTTTAGTTTCTGTAGACTTGGAGTATAGTTTGAAGTCATCTGGTGTGACTCCATGACTTTGTTCTTTTGCTTGCTATTTGTTTGGCTATTCAGTCTCTTTTTGGGTTCCATATAAATTTTAGATTTTTTTTTCTAATTATGTGAAAAATGGCATTGGTAATTTGATAGGAATAACATTGAATCTGTAAATTGCTTTGGGAAATATGGCCATTTCACAACACTGATTCTATCCATGAACATGAAATGTTTTATTATTTGTTTGTGTCATCTCTGATGTCTTTGAGCAGTGTTTTTTAATTCTCATTGTAGAGACCTTTCACCTCCCTTGTTAGCTGTATTATTAGGTATTTTATTCTGTTTGTGGCTATTGTGAATGGAATTGCATTCTTTATTTGGCCCTCATCTTGGATGTTGTTGATGTGTAGAAATTTTACTCATTTTTGTACACTAATTTTGTATTCTGAAATTTTATTTCAGTTGTTTAGCAGTTCTAACAGCCTCTGAGCAGAGACTATGGGGTTTTCTAGGTATAGAATCATATTGCGGGTGAAGAGAGATAGTTTGACTTCCCCTCTTCTTATTTGGATCCCTTTTGTTTCTTGTTTCTTTTTATTGTCGATTGTTCTGGCTGGGACTTCCAGTACTTTGTTGAATAGGAGTGGTGAGAGTGGGCATCCTTGTCTTGTTCCAGTTCTCAAGGGGAATGCTTCCATTTTTTGCCCGTTTAGTGTGACATTGGGTGTAGGTTTGTAATAGGCAGCTTTTATTATTTTGAGGTATGTGCCTTTAATGCCTAGTTTGTTGAGGACTTTTAACATGAAGGGATGTTGAATTTTACGAAAAGCTTTTCTGTACCTATTGAGATAATCATGTGGTTTTGTTTATAGGTCTGTCTATGTGATGAATTACATTTATTGTTATATGTATGTTGAACCAATCTTGCATCCCAGGAATAAAACCTACTTGATCTTGGTGGATTAGCTTTTTGATGTGCTGCTGGATTTTGCTTGTAGTATTTTGTTGAGGATTTTTGACTCTATGTTCATCAGAGATATTGGCCTAAAGATTTCTTTTTTCCTTGTGTCTCTCCCAGGTTTTGGTATCAGAACAAATCTGGCCTCACAGAATGAGTTAGGGATTAGTCCCTCCTCCTCAACTTTTTGGAATCATTTTAGTAGGATGAGTACTAGCTCTTTTTTTATACTTCTTTGTAGAATTTGGCTGTTTATCTGGTCCAGGGCTTTTACTGGTCGGTAGGTTTTTTTATTAGTGATTCAATTTTGGAACTTGTTATTGGTCTGCTTAAAATTTCAATTTCTTCCTGGCTCAATATTGAGAGGTTGTATGTTTCCAGGAATTAGTCCATTTCGTTTAGGTTCTCTAGTTTGTGTTGTTCTGCATTAATTAATTTTAAATAAGGAAAAACTAAAAGCCAAAACATATATGCATTTTAAATTAAACTCTGTATTAAAGATATTTAAGAGTAGGGAACTTCTTGGGATCAAGAGATTGTTAAAAAAAAAAGCTTGTGATTTACTTTTCTAGGAAGGACTGCTCTAATTTTCTGTCTCTTAAAATAGGACAAAAATCATCTGTGCATAATTGATTTTCCTCCCTTTCTCTTAGCAAGTCTTACTTCTTACAGGCATTACTGTACTCTCAACCCTGTTCTGCCTACCACTTCCAAACACACTTCTTTCTTGGATCACTGAAATGCCTTCTGGAAATCCTTTGATGGTCAAGAGTAAATACAAGGTACAATATTTGTTTTGTTTTCGATTCCCTTTCCTTACCAAGCATACAGTAACGCTGTCCAATTTGTTCAGAGATGAAATGGAGTCTCAATTGATGCATTGCCTTATTTTAGTGTCCTTTTTCTTTGTCAAATAAGTGAGAACGAGATAAACCCTATCTCTGGGGCTCTGAGAGACAGGGATGTGTTTTACTAACAGAAGATGCTTCAACACTGCCATCTCCTGGCCATACTAGATATGCCAGGCCCCCAGGGAATTGAGCAAGCCGCTAACCCTTAGAAATGGCTGGCTTTAAACTTCCATCTTTGCCCTAGGGAAAAAATATCTCTCAGGATTTGAGAAAGGCTAATAAAACTTTGGTAATCAGGGAAAATTATGTTACAAACCACAAATATTACATAGCTGGGACCAGCAGAGAGCAACCTTCCTCTGTGCCAGTCACTTGTCACTGTTGCTCCTGGATATTGAGTAAGTTATAGTTAGGAATGTGTACAGCTCAAGTGGAGGTGAAACAGTACATCCTGAAGTACAAGTACAAGTGCAGCTAATGAATGTAGACTCCAGAAAAAATCCAAATCATAAACATGAAGAGTATATTTTTGTTAGGGTCTCACTTTGAAATTCTATGAACTACAATTAAAGAACAATAATGATAAGTTGAAGAATCTACTTTGGAAGATTGAGATGTTAAGGGCAGTTAGGAGCCTGCTATTGGAGAAGTAATTTAGACCTGCAGATGTTTTACTTGAAAGAGAGAAGGATCATGAGTGTGTAGGGAAGTTGAAACTATCCCTCTGAAGGTTGAAGTCTACGTCTGTTAAAATGAATCGACAAAAGACAAATTAACAGGAAAAAGACATAGAATTTTATTAACATGCATAAGCATGGAGAACTCCAAGGAGAATGATTACCTGATAACTCAATTAAGCACAGATGCTTATATATCCTTCTTTATAGGGGAGGGGAGAGATTGAATGGGACCTGAGAAGAGACAATAGTTTGAGATGAAGTTCATCTGGGCTCCAGGTGTGGTGTTTAATTTTCAGTGTCTTCCTCTGTAATATGAGTTTTAATCTTCTCTGGTTAATGGAATTTCAGGGAAGGGATTGAAGGCAATTGTGTTCCTCTTTAGGGGTCTAGCGTCTAGGTAGATAAGGGAACTTCAGAGAATAACCTCATCCCATGCTTTGGGAAAGACAAAGAAGTGAAAGACAGGAAGGGCTGGGGGATGTCAGAGAAACCTTGCGGTTGCTTCTTTAGTTCAGAATGTTAAAGTGCTATATTTAGGGATATTGGTTTTCTGGGCTCTAACAATGTAATGATCTCCAAAACATTCCAGAGTTTAAATCTGTGGTTATCATGGTGACTAGGGGCCAGGGAAGAACACAGAATAATATTTGGATGTGATGACTTGAGTTATGGAGAAATATTAGAAATGCTTAGCACACCACTTATAAAATTTATGGATCACCTTGATTTAGACCTAGACAACTAATCACTTGCATAACCTCTCTGCTCTCACTTAAAAAAAAATCATTGATGCATAATATCATGTTACCAGCCCTGCAACTGAACCATAGTTATTTGCCAGTGTATCGTTACTGGAAATTGTTAAGTGTCCCAGCCACAGCCATTATATTGCAATCAGAATTTTGTTTTGGATGTTTCTCTATTTCTGCTGCTTCCCAAGGCACTTCCACCTCAACATGTTTGTCAATTATTTCCCATTGAATTTCTTGGAGAATTTTCAAATAGTCTCATCCCATCATATTTTTCGTATGTCAACTTTTCCAGAAGATAAAAAAAAAAAATAGAGCTTTCGACTTTCCTTCAGCAGTAAGTAGCCTGATTTCTTTTTTTTTTATTATTATTATACTTTAAGTTTTAGGGTACATGTACACAACGTGCAGGTTAGTTACATATGTATACATGTGCCATGTTGGTGAGCTGCACCCATTAACTTGTCATTTAACATTAGGTATATCTCCTAATGGTATCCCTCCCCCCGGCCCCCACCCCACAACAGGCCCAATGAGAACACATGGACACAGGAAGGGGAACATCACACACCAGGGCCTGATTTCTATGTAAGGGTTATATCTGTTCACACTGCCTCCATATGGAGATTCAGGCTTCCAAACTCGTTAACTAAACCTCACCTCTAACTAATTCAACATCTTCTTCATGGTTCCCCTGACGATACAACCTGAGGTTCCTCTTCTCCTAAACCAGGTACTCTAAAATTTCCTTAATTTTAAATTTATATATAAATAGTTTAAATATGTCTTTACCCTCCAATGTGTGGAAAAAGTCCTGGTGTGAGAGGTTTAGGGTGCTTATATGAACTACAGAGTTTTTGTATACGGTTGTCTCCTGTATCAGAATTGCTATGGTAATACACCAAAATTATGTGACTGTCATTGTCTACTGAATGGAGTCTGAGTCTTGCAGCAGTGTCATATTTGAACACTTGGGGCTAAAGCTAGAATAAATGTTTTTATTTCTCTGTCTAAAATATAATTCCAAATATAAATATTTGTATTCCTGCTTTCCATGAACAGGTTAGAAGAGGAAAGAGAAAATGGAGTTGGGGAACAAGGAAAGCACCACTAAGCAGGTTGATCATATTGGCCTCTTCTCAGAAATGATGTCCAAAAGTCTTCACTGAGTGTGGCCGGATGATTTTGCTAAAGTGTAAACTGGTGAACCTTTCTATGGGTCTTTATATTGGCATTTTTTCATTCATTAAAAAAAAGATAAGTAAGTTGATGGAGTTGGTTCTCCTAATTCTGCTATTCAATAACTTTGTGATTGGATAAGCATAAAATATATAAAAGTACAGAGAATCACAGCTTGGCAAACTTTCTCCCCTTTCTAAGAAGACCCCTGAATGGCCCTGCCTATTACAAATGGTACCTTGTTCATGCCTTTTGTGCTGACATTTATTGGGATCCCCGGTTTTGAATCTGTACAATGCTGGATTGGGATTCCATTCTGTGCTACGTATGTCATTGCTCTGATTGGAAATTCTCTACTTTTGATCATCATCAAATCTGAGCCAAGCCTCCATGAACCCATGTATATCTTCCTGGCCACGTTAGGAGCCACAGACATTTCACTTAGCACCAGCATTGTGCCCAAGATGCTTGATATTTTTTGGTTCCATTTGCCAGAGATATATTTTGATGCTTGCCTCTTTCAGATGTGGCTCATCCACACATTTCAAGGCATTGAATCAGGAGTCCTGCTAGCCATGGCTCTGGACCGCTGTGTAGCGATCTGTTATCCTCTGAGGCGTGCTATAGTATTCACTCGACAGCTAGTCACTTATATTGTAGTTGGAGTGACATTGCGGCCTGCCATTCTGGTAATTCCATGCCTATTGCTTATAAAATGCCATCTGAAACTCTACCGAACCAAGTTAATATACCACACTTACTGTGAACGCGTGGCCCTTGTGAAGCTTGCCACTGAAGATGTTTACATTAATAAGGTCTATGGTATCCTTGGAGCATTTATTGTTGGTGGGCTTGACTTCATTTTCATCACCCTCTCCTATATTCAGATATTTATCACTGTCTTTCACTTGCCTCTGAAAGAGGCACGACTTAAGGTATTTAATACATGTATTCCCCATATATATGTCTTCTTCCAATTCTATCTCCTTGCTTTTTTTTTCATTTTTTACTCGCAGATTTGGATCTTATATCCCATCATATGTACATATCACCTTGTCCAGTCTTTACCTACTGGTCCCACCATTCCTCAACCCCTTTATCTATGGGTTAAAGACCAAACACATTAGAGATAAGGTAGTAAAAACATTCTGTTCCAAAGATGAGGCTTGAAATTTGATTGAAATAGTTTCTTCATAAAGATAATAGCTCACCTATTACTAGACCTATGAGATCCAGTCAATGGTTTGGGGTATCATTATGATTGATGAATAAATTAATGTGTCTGTATACACACACCTACAAACATATATACACATATATATTCATATCTCTGCAAGCATTTTTCTAGGTATATTAATAGAAATGAAAATTGCAGTATAAAGTTTGTTCTGTTAATTTTTGATAAGTATTGTCATTTCATTTTAGACAATTTCAGTAGCTCATACTTCCATAAGCAAAATTCAAGTACTTGTTTCCCCATGTTATATTATTAAAATTTAACCAAAAAATAAAAAAAGTCCATAGTTTTATTACTTAAAGTCACATGGTTTTATTTTGAGATTATTTTTAATTCACACTGGATTTTGTTTTTGTGCAAAATGTGAATTACACAGCTTAACGGAGCAAACTTAATAGAGGAAACTCTATTTTGCTAAATAGAGTTTGTATTAAGCAATTTATTATCTTTCTATGTTATTCTGTGTTTTTTTTTACTTAATATATTACCACAACTTTGTGTATTTTTTCCTGTCCTTATTTTCTGACTGTCCTTATACCACCATGCTTTACTAGTTTAACTATTAAAGTCATAGAATACTTTGATGTTGTAAAGAACAAGTATTTTTTGACATTTTTGATTGCAGATATTAATTCTGTAGCCAAACCTAATTGTTTGTTTACCGATAGATTATTTTCCTGGAATTTTCCCTGAAGAAAAATTAGGTAATAAAATAAGAATTAGTACTCCCTGAGATGTTTCTTTAGCCCTTGTAATATTTATAAACAAATGTATGGGATACTGAAGTACTAATTTTAAACCTTATTAGACAACTTTAGTGAAATTGCCTGCAACAAGCTTCTGTTAAGAAAAGCCTATCCTCCTTTCTCAACTTTTCTTTAATGATGCCCCTACACCATCATGATGTGACTTTGTTTTACTCAGTTCACAGTTATCCAGCAACAAAACACACAAAAATCAACTGGAACAAAAGATGTAAATTTAGGCTGCCATTATTATTTACCTATCAGAATTTGCTAATTTATTTCCCCAAGTCTTTCATTTATTTTCTTAAAACAGAAATTAACACCTTTTCTTTCCACTTGCCTTCCACCTGCCTTCCACAAACACCCACCATTTGACCCACCCACCCACAATAGTGTAGCTGGATGCTGCCAAAAGAGATAAGTGAAAGCACATTATAACCTGCAAACTGTGATTCAGAGATTGTGCCTATCTAAATCCATTATTCAATCAAACCAGCTTCCATTTGCATGCTTGGGGTCTAGAATAATAAAACAAATAATTATTTCATACCAAACTAAGTAGTGTTATATGATATGTCAATATTTAAATCCTCCATCTAATTGGCTTCTAATTTCTCCGTATCTCTTATCTCCCCTTTTCTTTAATTTTTAACTTCTTTCAGATTATTATTTTTAAGCTTTTCACTGAAGTATATCATACAATTAGAAAAGTGCACCAATCCTAAGACTATATTTTTCTCTCCCCTCCCCTCCCCTCCCTTCCCCTCCCCTCCCCTCTCCTCCCCTCTCCTCCCCTCCCCTCCCCTCTCCTCCTCTCTCTTCTCTTCTCTTCTCTTCTCTTCTCTTCTCTTCTCTTCTCTTCTCTTCTTTTCCTTGAGCTCAAGTCTCACTCTATTGCCCAGGGTGGAGTACAGTGGCTCAGTCATGCATGGCTCACAGCAACCTGAACTGCCTGAGCTAAAGGAATTCTCCCACCTCAGCCTCTGGTGTAGCTGGAACTACAGGTGCATACCCCTAGGCCCACCACCTAATTTTTTTATTATTATTTGTATAGAAGAGCTCTCTTTATGTTGCTCAGGCTTGTATAGACCTTCTAGGCCCAAGCCATCCTCCCGTCTCCACCTTGCAAAGTGCTGGGATTACAGACGTGTGCCACTGACATGAATTTTAGTATAATGGGCAGACTGAGCCAAAAAAGCATCCAGATCAAGAAACATAACACGACCAGCAAAGCAGAAATTCTCCTTCACTTGTTTCCTTGTTCCTACCCACGTTAGATAACCACTATCCTGATTTCTATTACCAAGATAACTTTGCTTCTTTAGAAATGTACATAAATGAAATATTGCAGCAAATTTGTTTGCTTCAAGTTTAGGTTTTTAAGATTTATCTATATTGTTGCATATAAAAATGAGCTATTCTCATTGTGTTATAATATTCAACTTTATGAATACACTACAATTTCTTTACACGTTGTTTGCTTTTTCGTGGGGGGGCTAGATAATACATAATATTTTGCTATCAAAAGTAGTGTTGTTGTGGGCATTACTTTACATAGTATTGGTAATATATGGCTGTATTTGAAGGAGTATATGTATAGAATTAGAATTGCCAGATAATATGATATTCCTAAGATTGATATTAATACATCTTGATAAATATTTTTTGAAAACTGATTTTGCAAAAAAGTAATTGTACCAATTTGTAAGATTACAGCGGATTTTTTGCATTTTTTATTGACAAATCATATTTATAGATATTTATGTAGTAGATGAGATATTTTGATACATGCGTACAACATATAATGATCAAATAAGGGTATTTGGGGTATCCACAGCCTAAAACATTTATCATTTCTTTGTGTTGGGAAGATTTCAAATCTTCTCTTCTAGCTGTTTTTTAAGTATGCAATATATTGTTGTTAACTATTGTCACCCTACTGTGATATTGAACATCAGAATTTAAGGTGTCAAGATAAAGAAAAGTTGGGTAATGAGAACAACATACAACTAAGTCCTAGGTCAGCAATTTTTAAGTGTTCTAGTTGCTTCATATCCTTGCTAGCATTTTGAATCATCAATCTTTCATTTTCTTGCTTGTGTACAGTAGCATCATGTTGTGAATTTAATTCAATCATTTTTATTCATGTCAAAGGGGTCATATGCATCATTTCTCACATTCCTTTGTCCTAAACCCAACCACATGATCACAACCAGGGACAGGAGTGAAAGAAAAATGCAGTGTCTAGATGAGTGGCTATGAGATGAGCTTAAACTATACGCTGGTGGAGGTGGAGAGGAATCTGTTACTGAGACAGAGACAGAATCCATACAGGGGGATTGTTAAAGTCTCTTGCACAGTGCAGTGCTTTTGATACAAAATATAAAAAGAGCAAGACATACTATACATTATAAAGAAACGTTGGTATTTTTGAAAATGTACCACACATCAAAATAACAAGAGTGTAAAATATGACTTTAATACATTTTATCAGAACCGTATGTACAAAATGCCAAGGAGCTTAAAAGAGAAAGGTGACATTCAATGCTGAGTTCAAGGTTTTTGGGGAAAGACATGGTTAATGATGAAGTATTTGAGACGTTCTTTGGAAGATAGATGGGTTGTGTGTGTGTGTGTGTGTGTGTGTGTGTGTGTGTGTGTGTTTAAATGAAGGTATTTCTCTAAAGGACATTTCTAAAATAACTCAAGAGAAGGTGTCCAAGAATAAGAAAGGCATACATGCTGTTCAATTAAAAGCAATAAAGTTTAGAGCTCAGGATGAGTAAGACAGCATATATTGATGTAGAAACAAAGAGGTTAGAATGTAGAATGTTTGGTTAAGAGGAAGAATTACAGTGGAAAGCAAATCAGCTTTGAAGTCAAGCATACCTAGGTTTGATTGTCAGCACTTCCATGGACTAGTCTGATACTGTGAAAGTTACTAATTTCCACGAATCTCAATTTCTGCATTGGACATTTGAAGCAATTAAATCAAATGAGGCATTTAGCAGAGGCTGATAATAATTGTTATGCTTTTGTCAATCCTTTTTTGCTGTCTCTTTTCTATCCTTAAAATTCTGGGGTCCACAGGAAATTACTTATTTTGTGTGAATTTATTTTGTTAATTTATTCATTTGATGTACCAAAGTAGATATTCTAAGTGCAAGAGTATGGCGAGATCTGTAAATAACGCTGGCATGATTTATACCCTACCATCCAAGACAATGTTTCATGAGCAAGGTGAATTTATTATTTATATTGTTCTCATTCATTAATAGTAACATTTTCTACTGACAATTTTCGATAAATGATAAATAACTACAATGCTGTGGGATCTGTAATAAGTTCTGATGAAGATATACAGATGATTGGATATAGCATCTAGACTCAATAACCTTTTACTAAATATCAAAAGATCACTCAGATGAATAAGGTCTGGAGTGGACTCCCAGAAAACTGCAGCAGCCCTGTGGAAGAGGGGCCTGACTATTAAAAGGAAAACAAACAAACGGAAAGCAACAACAACAGCAGCAGCATCAACAAATACATCCCCACAAAAACCCCATCCAAAGGTCAGCAGCCTCAACAATTGAAGCTAGATGAACTCAGTAAGGTGAGACAGAATCAGTGAAGAAATGCTGAAAACTCAAAAACCAGAGTGGCTTTTCTCTAAATGATTGCAACACCTCTCCTGCAATGGCACAGAGCTGGGTGGAGGGTGAGATGGCTGAATTGACAGAAGTAGGCTTCAAAAGGCAGGTAATAACAAACTTTGCTGAGCTAAAGCAGCATGTTCTAACCCAATGCAAAGAAGCTTAGAACCATGATAAAACATTACAGGAGTGATTAACCAGAATAACCAGTTTAGAGAGGAACATAAATGACTTAATGGAGTTGAAAAGCACAACACAAGAACTTCACAATACAATTACAAGTATCAATAACAATAGACCAAGCAGAGGAAAGAATTTCAGAGCTTGAAGACTATCTTGCTGAAATAAGACAGACAGACAAGATTAGAAAAAACAGAATGAAAAGGAACAAACCAACCCTCTGAGAACTATGGGATTATGTAAAAAGACCAAAACTACAACTGATTGGGGTACATGAAAGAGACAGGGAAAAAACCAAGTTGAAAAACATACTTCAGGATATCATCCAGGAGAACTTTCCCAACGTAACAAAACAGACCAGCATTCAAATTCAGGAAATACAGAGAACCCTAGTAAGATACTCCATGAGAAGATCGAACCTAAAACACATAATCAGCAGATTCTCCAGCGTCAAAATGAAGGAAAAAATGTTAAGGGCAGTTAGAAAGGCCATGTGACATATAAAGGGAAGCCCATCAGACTAACAGTGGACCTCTCAGCAGAAACTCTACAAGCCAAAAGATATTGGGGGCCAATATTCAACATTCTTAAATAAAAGAATTTTCAACCCAGAATTTCATATCCAGACAAACTGAGCTTCGTAAGCGAAGGAGAAATAAAATCCTTTTCAGACAAGCAAAGGCCGAGAGAATTCATCACCACCAGGCCTGCCTTGCAAGAGACTTTGAAGGAAGCACTAAATATGGAAAAGAAAAACTGCTGTCCAGGCACGGAGGCTCACGCCTGTAATCCCAGCACTTTGACAGGCTGAGGTAGGTGGATCACCTGAGGTCAGGAGTTCAAGACCAGTCTGACTAGCATGGAGAAACCCCATCTCTACTAAAAATACAAAAAATAAGCCGAGCGTGGTGGCACATTCCTGTAATCCCAGCTACTTGGGAGGCTGAGGTAGGAGAATCACTTGAACCCAGGAGGCGGAGGTTGCAGTGAGCCGAGATCATGCACTCCAGCTTGGGGAGCAAGAGCAAAACTCTGTCTCAAAAAACAATCCCCAAACCAAACCAAAACAACAACAACAACAACGACAAAAACTATTACCAGCCATTACAAAAACACACTGAAGTACACAGACCAATGACACTATGAAGCAACTACATCAACAAGTCTGCAAAATAACTAGCTAGCATCATGATGACAGGATCAAACCCACACATTACAATATTAACCTTAAATGTAAGTGGTCTAAATGCCCCATTTAAAAGACACAGAATGGAAAGCTGAATGAAGAGTCAAGACCCATTGGTGTGCTGTATTCGAGACACCCATCGCACATGCAAAGACACACATGGGCTTAAAATAAAGGGATAGAGGAAAAATTGTCAAGTAAATAAAAAAAAAGCATGGGTTGCAATCCTAGTTTCTGACAAAACAGATTTTAAACCAACAAAGATCAAAAAAGACAAAGAAGGGCATTAAATAATAGTAAAAGGTTCAATTTTACAAGAAGAGCTAACTATCCTAAACATAATGGCAAAGGGATCAATTCAACAAGAAGAACTAACTATCCTAAATATATATGTACCCAATACAGGAGCACCCAGATTCATAAAACAAGTTCTTAGAGACCTACAAAGAGACTTAGACTCCCACACAATAATACTGGGAGACTTTAACAGCCTGCTGTCCATATTAGACAGATAATCAACAAAGAAAATTACCAAGGATATTTAGGACTTGAACTCAGCTCTGAATCAAGTGGACCTGATAGATATCTACAGAATTCTCCACCCCCATCCAATACCACACAACTGCGTGGAAATTGGACAATCTGCTCCTGAATGATGACTCCCAGGTAAATAATGAAATTAAGGCAGAAATCAAGAAGTTCTTTGAAACTAATGAGAACAGAGACAATTTACCAGTATCTCTGGGATTCAGCTAGAGCAGTGTTAAGAGAAAAATGTGTGGCACTAAATGCCTACATCAAAAAGCTAGAAAGATCTAAAATCGATACCCTAACATCACAACTAAAAGAACTAGAGAACCAAGAGCAGACAAACCTTAAAGCTAGCAGAAGACAAGAAATAACCAAGACCAGAGTGGAACTGACAGAGATAGAGATATGAAAAACACTTCAAAAAATCAATGAATCCAGAAGCTGATTTTTTGAAAAATCTATAAAATAAGATAGATCACTAGCTAGAAAAATAAAGAAAAGAGAGAAGAATCAAATAGACACAATCAGAAATGATAAGGGGGATATCATTATTGACCCCACAGAAATACAAACAACCCTCAGAGATAAACACCTCTATGCACATAAACTAGAAAATCTAGAAGACATGAATAAATTCCTGGATGCATACACCCTCTCAAAACTGAACCAGGAAGAATTTGAATCCCTGAATGGACCAGTAACAACTTCTGAAGTTGAGACAGTAATAAATAGTCTTTAAAAAAAGCCCAGGACCAGATGGATTAGCAGCTGAATTATACCAGAGGTACAAAGAGGAGCTGGTATAATTTCTTCTGAAACTATTCCAAACAATTGAAAAGAAGAGATTTCTTCCTAACTCACTTTATGAGGCCAGCATCATCCTGATACCAAAACCTGGCAGAGATACAACAACAACAAAAAAAGGAAACTTTAGGCCTATATCCCTGATGAACATCAATGCCAAAATTCTCAATAAAATACTGGCAAACCGAATCCAGCAGCACATCAGAAAGCTTATTCACCATGATCAAGTCAGCTTTATTCCAAGATGCAAGGTTGATTCAACATATGCAAATCAATAAATGTAATTCATCACATAAACAGAATTAAAGACAAAAATGACAAGATTATGTCAACAGATGCAGAAAAGGCCTTTGATAAAATTCATCATCTCTTCATGTTAAAAACTCAATAAATTAGATTTTGATGGAACATATCAAAAACTAATACGAACCATTTATGACAAACCCACGGCCAATGTCATACTGAATAAGCAAAAACTGGACGATTCTCCTTGAAAACTGGCACAAGATAAGAATGCCTGCTCTCACCACTCCTATTCAAAATAATATTAGAAGTTCTGGCCAGGGAAATCAGGCAAGAGAAAGAAATAAAGGATATTCAAATAGGAATAGAAGAAATTAAGTCCAACTGTCTTTTTCTGCAGATGACATGATCCTGTATCTAGAAAGCCCCCATATCTCAGCCTGAAAGCTTCTTAAGTTAGTAAGCAACTTCAGCAAAATCTCAGGATACAAAATCAATGTGCAAAAACCACAAGCATGTCTACACACCTGCAATAGACAAGAAGAGAGCCAAATCACAAATGAACTCACATTCACAATTGCTACAAAGAGAATTAAATACCTAGAAATACAGCTAACAAGGGAAGTGAAGGACTCTTCAAGGAGAACTACAAACCAGTGCTCAAGGAAATGAGAGGACACACACAAATGTAAAAACATTACATGTTCATGGATAGGAAGAATCAATATCATAAAAATGGCCATACTGCCAAAAGTAATTTATATATTCAATGCTATCCCCATTAAACTACCATTGACATTCTTCACAGAACTACTTTAAAATTCACGTGGAACCAAAAAAGAGCCCCTATAGCCAAGACAATCCTAAGCAAAAAGAACAAAGCTGGAGTCATCACACTACCCAGCTTCAAGGTATACTACAAGGCTATGGTAACAAAAACAGCATAGTACTGGCACAAAAACGGACACACAGACCAATGGAACAGGGTAGAGATATCAGAAATAAGACCACACATCTACAAGTATATGACCTTCAACAAACATGACAAAAACAAGCAATGGGGAAAGGATTCCATATTTAATAAATGGTACTGGGAAACTGGCTCGCCATATGCAGAAAATTGAAACTGGACCCCTTCCTTACACCTTATACACAAATTAATTCAAGATGAATTAGACTTAAATGTAAACCCCAAAACTACAAAATCTAGGCAATACCATTCAGCACATAGGCACGGACAAAGATTTCATGACAAAAACGTCAAGAGCAATTGCAACAACAGCACAACTTGACAAATGGGATCTAATTAAACTAAAGAGCTTCTGTACAGCAAAAGAAACTGTCATTAGAATGTAGAGACAACCTGCAGAATGAACGAAAATGCTTTCAATCTATGACAAAGCATTGTAGATATCCAGTATCTACAAGGAACTTAAATAAATTTATAAGAAAAAAACACCACCATTAAAAAGTGGGCAAAGACATGAACAGACACTTCACAAAAGAAGACATTTATGTGACCAAAAAACATGAAAAAAGGCCCAACATCACTGATCACTGGAGAAATGCAAATCAAGACCACAATGAGATACCATCATGCACTGGTTAGAATGGCGATTATTAAAACGTAAATAAACAACAGATGCTGGTGAGGCTGTGGAGAAATAGGAACACTTTTACACTGTTGGTGGGAATGCAAATTAGTTCAAACATTGTGGAATACAGGGTGTCAATTCCTCAAAGACCTAGAACAAGAAATACCATTTGACCCAGAAATCCCATTACTGGGTGTATACCCATAGGAATATAAATCGTCCAGTTACAAAGATATATGCACACATATGTTCATTGCAACACTATTCACAACAGCAAAGACATGGAATCAAGCCAAATGCCCATCAATGATAGAATGGTTAAAGAAAATGTGGTACACATACACCATAGAATCCTATGTAGCCATAAAAAGGAATGAGATCATGTCCTTTGCAGGGACATGGATGGAGGTGGAAGCCATTTTCCTCATCAAACTGACACAGGGATAGGAAACCAAACACCACATGTTCTGACATATAAGTGGGAGCTGAATAATGAGAACACATGAACACAGGGAGGAGAACAACACATACTAGGACCTGTTAGGGGGTGGGCCCTACAGTATTGTAGGACAGTGGTGCTAAAATATCATATTTTTACTCTTAACTTTTCTGTTTAGATATACAAATACTTAACATTGTGTTAAAACTGCCTGTAGTATCCAGCACGGTAACATGCTGTACAGGTTTGTAGCCAAGGAATAATAGGCAGTAATCTATAGCCCAGACGCGTATTAGGCTGTACCATCGCAGTTTGTGTCAGTACACTCTATGATGTCACACAATGACAAAATCGCCTAAGGATGCATTTCTCAGAACATATCCTCATCGTTAAGCAACACGTGACTATAATCATCCTAAAGATTATTTCTCAGTTCCTTCAAGTATAATCCACTATTATACTGGAACCCTGCTTGCATGGTGGCAAGGTATGGCAGAAGGAAAGCTCTCAATAATCTTCCAATTAAACCTGAGCCTTCTGGTGCCTTTGGCTCACGTCTTTACCTTCACAAGTATTTCTCTGGTTGTATAGTGCCCTCTCTCCTCCTCTGTTCTCTTCCCTGACTTCAGTGTTCCTAATCTATTTCCTTGAAGCCTTGACATCTGTTGACTAGATGTTTATTTCCTCTTAGGTGAGTTAGGAAGGCTGGAGAAGTCTTTGGCAGTAGCATTCAAAAGTGCCAAAAGTCTTTGGCAGTGACATTTGGCAAATTAGTCTGCATGCTCTTTACTTTCCCTATGCATGAAATGAGGTAGTGACAGTACCTGTCTGATAGGGTTACACATAGAAATAAATGCACTTATTTAGAAATGTCCCTGACACATGTTCTGTATATTATTTGACTTTTAATTTATTTGACATAATGGTTGTATATATTTATAAGGTACAATGTGATATTTTTGTATATGTATACATTATGCAATGATCAATGTAATTAACATTAATGTAATTAACATATTAGATATATTAATAATCAGTTCTAGATACATTGAGTTTTAGATGCACTGAGTTAATGAAAAGTTCTAATACACAACTAATATATACAATCAATCCAATTAACATATAAATCACCTCACATACTTATTTTTGTGGTAATAACATTTGAGATTTATTCTCAGCAGTTATGATATGCATAATACATTATCATTTACTATAGTCAAGATACTGTACAATAGATCTCAAAAACTTGCCCTTCTGGTCTAACTAAAATTCTGTACCCTTTTGCCAATATCTCCCCTTCACTGCCTAACTTCCTCAGCTCTGGTAACTACCATTCTACTATCTACTCCTATGAGTTCAACTTTTTTGTGTTCCACATGTAAGTGATACCCTGCAGTATTTGTCTTTGCATGCCTGACTTATTTCACTTAACATAATGTCTTTCAGTTTTGTCTCTGTTGTTGCAAATGACAAGATTTTCTTCCTAGTTAAAGCTGAATAGTATTCCATTGTGTATACATAGCATACCACATTTTCTTTATCCTTTCTGGAGAGATTGATGTCTTAGCTGTTGTGAATGGTGCTTCAGTGAGCATAGGAGTACAGGTATCTCTTTGACATACTGATTTTTTATTCCTTTGGACATAAACCCTGTAGTGAGATTGCTGTCTCATATGGTAGTTCTACTTTTAGATTTTTCAGAAACCTCCATTTTGTTTTTCATAATGGCAATACCAGTTAACAGTCCCACAAACAGCATATAGGAGTTCATTTTTCTCCACACTCCCTCGAGCATTTTTTCTAAAGACTTTATTTTTTTAGCTTTTATATTATAATTTAAAGTTCCTCTGGGATTAATTTTAGTATATAGTGCAATTGAGGGGTTGAGATTCATTTTGCTTTTTTCATATACGTGAGCTATTTTCATCACCATTCCTTTAAAAAATCATTTTCTCAAAGTAGTACACTGTCTCTGTCTCCATATTAGTGGTTTGATTTTACATTGTCTGTTTTGATTCATTAGCCTACTTGCGTATCCTTGAGTCAAACTACAGCAAATATGGTTCTGACGTCTACTTAGTATCAATCTTGCATCTGGTTGTGTTTATCCCTCAGTGTTTTTGTTTTACAGGAAAGCCTTGAGTATTCCAGGACCTAATTTACATCTCCATATAAACTTTCAATGCTACTTGAAAATTTCCACAAAATGACTTTCAGAAAATTTTATTGAGATTGCATTGAATCTGAATATCTTTATAGGGAAAATCATATTATTTACAATATTGTGTCTTTAAATTCAATCATAAGTGTGGTATATTCTACCATTTATCTGAGTCTTCTTAACTTATTACATAGTTTTCAAGGTAGATATCTTATATCATTCATTAAAGAGATTCATAGATGTTTGCATATTTAGTTGCTTGATTTTTAATTACAACATTGACTTGTAAAGGATGTTCCCAACTAAAAAATAAAATGAAGTACATGATTATAAAAATAAATATTAGAATTTTTTCTAGTTTTACTACTTTGAACATGTTTTTTCTTTCACTGAGAATGTGTTAATAGGCGAAAATGAAGTTATATAATAGATAACTTGCAGGATAGCAAAAGATAAAGCATATATGGTATCTGTTGTTTTGCTTTTCATGATTTCGGTATCCATGGTCAATCATGGTCAGAAAATAGGTGAGTAGAGTACAATAAAGGTATTAATATTTTAAGAGAGAGAAAGAATATTCACATAACTTTTATTATATTGTTGTAAGTGTTCTATTTTATTACTAGTTATTGTTGTTAATCTTTTTCTAATGCATTAATTAAACTTTATAATAACTATGCTATAGGAAAAAAATAGAATATATATACGGGATATATGGGGCTAAATACTATTAGCAGTTCCAGACATCCACTGAAGGTTTTGAAACATATTCACTGTGGATAATGGGGGAATACTGTATACCTTACTTGAGATAAACTGCATATGAATTATAGAGCTGTTTGTATAAATGATTATAAATTTTATGTGCTGAAAGTTGTAACAAATAAAATAAAATTAAAATAATGTCCATTTTTATTATTATTAGAAATGCTGCTAATTGGTTGGTAAAAATTAGTTGTTGCCTCTGTTACTTATACCAATTAGCAGAATTTGGAATCTGATATTTTGCAATAATTTTATTATACTTTAATAATAATAAAAGTAATAGGCAATCATAATTGTTAATATTTATTTAGTGTTTTTAAGAGTATAGAATAAAGGAAGTGGATTGAATTAGGGCTATGTATATTATTTCTTTCAAACAGGATTATATTTATTGTCTTTGATGGTGTGGGCATCTTTTGAGGGTGAGATAGGTGTAGACGAAAATCAAGAAGAAAAACAATTATCCTTTCTCCTCCTCCTCCTCTTCTTCTTCTTCTTTTCTCCTTCCTCCTCCCCCCTCCCCCTCCTCCTCTTCTTCCTCCTCCTCCTCCTTCTCTTCTTCTTTTTGACAACATCTTGCTCTGTCGTGCAGTCACACGATTTTGGCTTACTGCAGCCTCAAACTTCAGGGGACAAGAGATTCTCCCACCTCAGTCTCCTAAGTAGCTGGGACTATAGGAGTGTACCACCACACCTGGCTATTGTTTTTGTTTTTTGTAGAGATAAAGTCTGACTATGTTGCCCAGGCTGATATCTCACTCCTGGGCTCAAGCTATCTGCAAACCAGAGCCTCCCAAAGTGCTAGGATTACAGGTATGAGTCATCGTTTCTAGACCCTACTCTCTTTCATGGTTGGGAAAATACCAGTTCTCTTAAGGGAAATAAGACATAACATTATAGTTACAAATCTAGTAATGATTATCTGGATAAAGTGACTATTTATTCTGTTTATAGCATTCTATAGTCTATGATAATTAACCACATTCTGTTATCTACCACAGATATGCCTATCATGTAAGTGTTAGCATGGGTTTGAGGTGCAGGCAAGGAAAATGCCACTTTCAGATGTTACCTTGGGTTGCTATGTAACCTATCCAAATGTCGTTATTTAACTTGTTGTATTACATTGGACACATGCAGCCTACCCTACACAAAGATCAGTTTTATTATTTTGAAGTAAAACTTTTATTTTAAAAAAGCATATTATGTGAATTGTGCTTTCAGTTTTTGCTCATGAAAAATAATTTCTTACTTAGAAATCTGCCCTTCAGAACCCCATCTCTATTTTTATTATTGCAACCATATATTTCCTGTAGTGGGTTTTACGTAGGTTAAATAGCTGAGGGAAAACTGGAAATCGAGACACATTTCCAATGCTTTTGTCATTGACGCTTACTTGTATTTTTCTTGTAGGGCATGAAAACAAAAAGTAAAATGATGGTTGGAAAAAAATGAAGAGTTTGACTATAAAATACATTATTAGAACATGAAAAACATCTGTGAAATGTTTAGTAGAGTACATTGTTACTTAAAGATTACTTACATGTGTCTCCTGTCTGACCAACTGTAAATAGGTGTAAACTTTTCTTCTAAAGAGAAGATAATATAAATCTAGTTTATTTGAAGAATGATGTATAATGAAACATTATTAAATTTGAGTGGTACTTAAGATACAAATCCAAGTTGAGAAAAACACTGGTAAGAATGCTATTGAATAAACTACTGACAAAAAGAGTCCCTGGAAAATTCATTATATTCTTGTTCCTATCTTTAAGAGAACAGGGCACTTCCTTAAGAGCACAGGAATCAGTTCTTCAGACAAATATATTCAGATACTCCTTGTGTTATTCTCCACTAGTTCCTTCCAGAAGGTTTTACCTGAAATCTCTAGTCGACAATCTTTGCTGAAAATATAATTAATCTATCTCCCATATTTCTGAACTCTAAAGATTTTTGTTCTGATCCTTTTAATCATGCCAGAAATTGTAAAGTTATTTTTCCACCATCATGCAATGAACATGGCATCAGAAAATTAGTTCCTAGTCTCCTGAGCAGTCACTCTTCTGCTTTGCTTCATCATTTTTCTTTGCATGTCAGTTTCTGCCAATAGTAAATTGAGAAAGAATATTCACAAAATTGCCTTTGGCTCACAGGAGTTGTAGCAAAATTATGTCTTCATAGCTACACAAAATATGTGGAAAAACATCCAGCAAATTCCTGTTAAAGTAGCTGACTTTGAAAATTTATTTTGTATCTGAAATTATCTGAGATTCGTCAACTTTTGCGAAACATCAAGCCTCAAAGGATGTATGTACGTTACATTGCACAAATAAAGAGACCTTTGCAGAAGAAGTTGCCCTGATGTCTGATAGAGGGTTGCCTAAAAGTATCACACATACATACACACATGCACACACACAGACACACACACACACACACACACACACACACAGAGAGTGATTAAACATAATTTGGAAAATAAGTCTTAGAATTCTGTGCATTCAGCTCCTTTTATAAACAAGATTTGTATTCTTTCACACAAGTATTTTTTTCAGGTACTTTCACTTCATGCTTTCCCAGAAATGAGAAGGGAGGCAGTGGTACAGTGAGGACACATAGTGCCTACAGGATCTTAAGAAAAGCAAAACAAAAAAATGGCTGCTGAAATGAAAGGGAAAAACCATACGTTTTAAAAAATGTGACTCAGTATCCCAGTGTTGTACTCAGAAAAATAAGATGTATTTAAATTGTTAAATTAGAATTCTACCAAGATCTTTTTCATTTTAAATTTTCATTTAGTTCTTTTTGCGGAGAAAGTCTAGACAGTTGCAGGCAACTAATTGTGACCCACTGGAAGACTAACCTGTTTTTTAATACACAGAAACAGAATTTCACTTGATTTCCATAGTTAAAAACGGAAAGGGATTCCAGTGGGATATGTTCTCCTGCTATAATGAAACTTTATATTCAGAAGAACACTCAACACGAATGAGGAGAGACAACATGGAGGTTTAAGACCGGAAAATATTCTCCAAAGTTTGTTCCTTTAGGACTTGCAGAATCTCTTGATATGAAATTCACTTACAAAATAATTACCTAGTGAAGTCTCAAAATTGACTTCTCTCAGCCATATCCACACCCTCAAGAAGTAAAGAAATAAGAGACCTTACTTTGAGGTGAAAGTATGGACCACATGCTCATGAATCTGCTTGGTTCTCACACCATAGATAATAGGATTGAGGGCAGGTGGAATGACCACATAGAGGTTGGCAACAAGAATGTGGACATAACGGGGAATTTTTTTTGCGAAATCGGTAGGTGAGGAAGGAGAAGAGGGAGGGTGTATAGAAAACACACATGACCCCAACATGTGAGCCACACGTTCTCAGTGCTTTGTGACGAGCGTCTTGAGATGGGAGGTGGAAAACAGCTCGGAGAATGTAGGTATAGGAGATTCCAACAAGTGCGACATCCAAAATAAGAAGCCACAAAAAGCCCATAAATAGCATTGATGTGAATGCTAGCACAGGCCAACTTAGCAATACCCATGTGCTCACAGTAGGAGTGGGCAATAATCCGAGCCTCACAGAAGGGCAGACGATGGGTTAGGTAGAGAATGGGCAACATGAGCAGGACTGGGCGCATTATAATGCTCACACCAATGCCTGCCAATACTCGGGGTGTCAGAGTAGAGGTATAGTGGAGTGATGTACAGATGGCCACATAGCGGTCAAAGGCCATTGCCAGCAGCACAGTGGACTCCATTCCTGTGAAAGTGTGTATCAGAAACATCTGGGCTACCCAGGCTCCAAAGCCAATTTTATGTGCATCAAACCAGAAGATACCCAACATACGAGGCACTGAGGATGTTGAGAGGGCTAGGTCTATGGCTGATAAGATGGCTAGAAAGTAGAACATAGGGTCCCGAAGAGTACGATCAGACCAGATTGTCAGTAGAATTGTAGCATTGCCCAGCAGAGGCATCAAGTAAATACAGCAAAAGGGCATGGAAATCCAGCCATGGAAAGCCTCAAGTCCCGGGATGCCTGTCAGAAAAAAGGTGTCTGGGTGGAAAATGGTGGTGGTGGTGTGGAACATCTTGCCATTGACGAGAAAAGTATTAGCTGACCACCTCTAGAAGGAAAATTAAAATTTATAAATGTTTAGCTCAAAATATCTCCAATAAGCTTAATTTTATCTCTATTTTTCTTAGAAAATTATTGCCAAATCTTGAGTCCAAAGTCAGATCTAGACACAGACTGGGCATTCTTCAACTGGAAGACAAATTAGCTTTATGACTCAGAGGGAGACCTGAGTCTTCCTCTGAGGTTCTGGACAATAATATACTCATTTGTTCAAACCCCGTACAAAACCTGGAATGAATTTTGAAAATGAAGGTTATGTTTTAGTGAGATGTCAGTCTTTTTTGAAGACAAAGCAGACCTTAATTATACAGATCAACGTACAAAATCACAGAAAGACACTGCTATCTGCCCACAAAACATGACAATATATACAAAAACCTGAGTGTAACTAGCCGTGAAGAATGACAGAAAATCTAGCAGAATCCTTAAACCGGTTTATTTGGTATCAGTAATTTCCATGGAGCATATTTGGAAAGTCAGACCCAAAATAAAAACTTATGCTTTATTAATTTATTCTTTATATGTTTATTCCTATACCCCACGGACACACTGTATTATATAATACTTCAGATATGAAAATAGTTGCAGAAAGATGAAAAACACTGCAGCTGGAAATCACCCCTAAAAGAGAAATGCGTGTTTTTGCCAGTAGTCTTCTGGTGAGAATATAATTTATAAATAAGACCAAATTTTCTACTGGTTGATAAATTCCCAGGAATATTAATTGTATCTAATCTTGTTGAGAGTGGGGAAATAAGGAGATTTGTTGAAATAAGGAAACTTGAGAGAAATTTTAAAAAGACAATGATAGTGGTTGACACCAGGCTAAAAAGATCTATGTTACTGATTTCCCACACTGCAGTTCTGATATTCCCTTTCCCTCCCTCCCTCCCTCCCTCTCTCCCTCCTTCCCTTCCTTCCTTCCTCCCTTCCTTCCTTCTTACCTTCCTTCTTCCTTCCTTCCAGAAAGAAAAGATAAATAGGACTATTACAAAAAGAAGGAAAAAATGGAGGAGTAGAGATAGAAATGGCAGGAAAGTCGGAAAATATTTTTAAAAGAAAAGTAGGAGAAAGAAAGAAAAAAAGAGAAGAAAGGAAGGGAGGAAGGTTGGTCTTAAATCTAATTGAGTCCAGAGAAAATAAGAGGAGAAAGTCCAAATTTTGAAAAGTATTTTATAAATGACATTAAAAATATAGTTTTCCCAGCCAGTAAATTGTGCAAGATTATATTAATTTTATATCTAGTATTCTTATTTTTCTGCCACCTTCTTTGCAATCAAATGTATAAATCTGCACGTATCTCTGGTCCTCTGATAACATTGTTTACTATTATCATTGTGGTTGCTGTTATTAACAATTATGCCTTGATACATGATTATCCCTGGAAGTGGAAATTTTCATTTATACCACAACTTAAAGTTCCCTTTGCAGATAGTTACTTTAAAAATTTAAGTGTTCCAGCCTGATCCATTAAGACCTCTTTCTGTCAGGAAATATTTCTGCAATAGTGAGGTATCAAATATCAGCTTAATATGTTCAGCTGTAGCCTGTTGCTTAGCTGTTAGACAAGAGCCTCTGATCACTCTCCGTATCTATGACACATTTAATGAGAAACTCGCCTCCAACAGAGAGCTCTATCATATCAACTAAAGGGAAGAGAGTTTTAATCTGCAAGTATTTAGGGCCCTGTGGGGCATGTCTAGAATTACAGCCAACTCAAATTTCTTCTATCAACCAGTAATTACTTTGCTCAGAGTCTCCTGGGAAAGATCCCATTTTCTACACTGGGGATGGAGGGACTAGAGCAGAAGTAGACACCCCTTCCCATCCTCTTTTCTGACACATACATTGTCAATAGGAAGTCAGATACATAAGGATAATGTTCCCAAAACATTCACACAAGGCAAACTGAATCTCTTGGGTAAATTTTACATCTGAATTTATGAGATGTTGCAATAGTGCAGATTTAGGTCATCAATTACCAATGGATGTATCCCCTTTCCCACATCAATGCTTTAGCACTCACCAATAATTTATTAAGATATCATGGTTATCAGATAAGATAAAGCCTCTTATCTCTTTTCCATGCAGGCTCATCTTACTGGCTTTGAGTTAAGAAAAATGAATTTTAAAATACATAAAAATAAAATAATAGGAAGTACTATATTTAGAGTTGTGAAATATACAAAAGCCAAAGGAAAAAAATGTATCGATAGTATGCTTAATTTACAGTGTAAATCAAAATATCTCTTTAATATAATGAGTAAAAATAAAGTAATACTACATTACTTAATTGTAGAAAGTAACACTATATTAATAAAATAATAAAAGTAGTAAAGTAATAAAAATAACACTATATTACTTAATTGTAGAAAAAATCATATGAAATGTGTATTGTATATATAAATATATATACAAACACATACATACACACATACCTATATACAACCACACAGACACACACACATATACATATATATATACATATGTGTGTGTGTGTGTATATATATATATACACACACAGTGAGACAGAAAGTAAGACAAGAAGTTGGGTAGTCTGAGTGAATATTAATATAATTAATCTAAATTCTCATGTATATAGCAGGTAATTAATAAATCCAGTTTGAACAGAATGAATCACCACATTTTTAAATAAACCCATCATAAGGTAATGTATAATTAAGTGCCAGAATATACATCTAGAAGATTTCATAGTGAATGTATTCAGGGAATAGAACTGGAGATTAGGTTGGCTGGGATTAAGGATGGTTGATATTAACTGTACCCTTTCAGCATGATATTTTAAATTAACATGCATGTGGCACTGTTACTATTAAATTTGAAAAAAAATTATGCTTTCTGAGACATTTAAGCAATAGGCACTCCTAGAATAAGCAATAATGAAGCAAATGTAGTTTTTTTTAATTTGTTTCATAAGTAAAACTTTATGTTTCCAATCCACTGACACGGCAGAAACATAAACAGTTGTTTTAGATGCCGTCCCATTTCCAGATGTATCTAAACCCATCTGTAATGCTGAAAATTTTGGAGATGTGCTTTAAACAATTTATGCCCTCATCATTCGTCCTTTGAAGTTGTTGATTTTAGTTGTCTTATTTCCATCCGAATCATCTGTCAGTGTCTTCCTCCTGCTGCCTTCCTAAACACATTCAGATTATGTGTTTTCTATGCTACTTTGAGATTATAAGACATAATTGGAGTCAATTAAAATGTTTCAAGAATTCAGATTCCATGCTCTTTTGTGATACTGTGTTACTGTGGAATCTTTATTGTTGTTATTCAATTGTAAGTCCCAGAAATAATTCTGTAAAGTTATTTTGATGCTCTGTGCACACAGTTGCAACCATACCAACATGGGGATTTTGCCCTTTTGCTAAACTTAACAGGAATAGAGACCTGATCTTCTTTCTTCCTAAAAGCTTAAAACAAAAGAGGACTCAAAATTTACTGCCATCACTGGGCCTACCCTAAAAAGACACGACATAAAATACATTTTTTTCTCAAGCAGATTCCATTACTATCTACGTTTTCTTCATCTCCTCCAAGTATCCTTCCCCACGTCATCAACCTATCCCTAGGTATCACTGGGTAGCATCAAATTTGTAAAGAAAATGTATGTAATATAGGAGAAATACTTAAATCTGGTTTCCTATGCTATGGTTTCAAAACCCAAGAGTTTCTATATATTTGTTCTCTTTCTTTTATTTTTTATTCCTTCCATGGCATTTCAAAACCCAACAGTTTCTGTATATTTGTTCTCTTTCTTCTATTTTTATTCCTTCCATGAGGTCCAAAATGCAGAATGTTCGAATAGAATGAGAAAAGTAAAAATGTTGCAAAATTAAAATGCCCCAGCTACTCGGGAGGCTGAGGCAGGAGAATTGCCTGAACCTGGGAGGCAGAGGTTGCAGTAAGCCAAGATCGTGCCACTGCACTCCAGCTTGGTGACAGAGCTAGACTCCATCTAAAAAAAAAGAAAAAAAATTAAATGCCATCTCACTTTGCTTCCCAGCTTCTTATTCATTAAAATTCTGTGATTATTTTAAAAATTCACAGAAGGTCCTTCAATGTATAACCTTACCTTTGATTAGAAAATATTTTAACTGGTCATAAAACAAATCATGGAAAATGAAAATAATGAAAACTCATACTTAAATACAAGTTTTCTGCTTATCAAAATTTTCATTAAGACATTGAATAAGGAAGCCACTGCTTGAGATATGATGTTTCCATTATGTATATATTATATATAATATATAATATAATTGATATATATTATATATCAGTTATAGTACTTATAATACAGTAAAATACTGCAATGAATTTACTATAAGTTTATAAAAAACGACAAACAACTCAATATAAAAAAAGAGCCAAACGTAAGCTGGAACCTTAAAAGAAGAACATAGTTAATAAGTAGAAGAAAAAAATTTACACCACTACTCATCAGGAAAAATGCTAATGCAAACCACAGTGTAACAACCCTACAACCCATTCAGTATGGCTAAAATTAAGACCTCTAATCCTGAGTGTTCATAAAGATACAGAATAACTATTAAACAGTTTGGCAACTGGAAGAGCCTATTCAGGCTAACTACCCCCTATTGTATTAGCCCATTTTCGCACTGCTATAAAGAACTATCTGACACTGGGTAATTTATAAAGGAAAGAGTTTTAATTGACTCATAGTTCTGCATTGCTGGGGAGGCCTCAGGAAACTTACAATCATTGCGGAAGGTAAAGGAAAAACAGGCCCCTTATTCACAGGGTGGCAGGATAGAGTGAGTACAAGCAAGGGAAATGCCAGACACTTACAAAACCCTCAGATCTAGTGAGAACTTACTATCATGAGAACGGCATGGGGGAGACTGTCTCCATGATTCAATTACTGCCACCTGGTCCTGCCCTTGACACGTGCAGATTATGGGGATTACAATTGAAGATGAGATTTTGGGTGGGGATACAACCAAACTATATCACCTATAAACCAGTAATTACTCCTAAGTAAATACTCAAAAGAAATAAGTAATTATGTTTACTCAAATACATATATAAAAACGTTTGTACTGATTTTATTCATAATAGGGAAAAATTTTAAAGTCAAATATCTGATAGTGGTAAAATATATAAATAAAGTAGTGTGTATTCTTTAAAGGAATGTATTCATTAAATCCTATCTGTGAAGTGATGAAACAAAATAATGTAACAATAACAAGCAACAAACAAAAAAGAACAAACACAACGGAACTGCCATTACATACAAAATAGACTCATTTAACAGAAATATTGTTGAGTAAAGATTAAACAGACACTTATAAAATTGTGCTCTTAAGATTTTTAATCTTCAGTGTTAGAGTTAGGACTTGCAGTCAAAGAAACAAGGAAGCACTTTGCTTGGGTCATTTGATAAAGTTTTTTTTAAATTGTTCACCTTTATACTCATTATAAAAGGGAAACTCTGAAAGAAGTTATTTAGAGAGGAAGTAAGGTGAATTAATTTGTGTTTCCCTCACTTTAGGAGGCACCTGTTTTTAAAAGAATTTGGTTATAACTTAAACCTACTTCCCTGACTCTGGTAATCAAAAGTGTGCAGTTCCTCAGAAAAAGTTTACAAAAAATAAATGTTCAGATGGGCATTCAATCTCAAGGCACTGTTTGTGTTTCATAACCATCTCATATTTGTGTAAAAAGAAATAAAAGCTAATGTTTTTTAAAAAATATATAAAATTGGTACATACAAAATGACATGTCCAATCATCAAGCCTAAAATAAAAATGTAAGTTTGAGCACCCTCCCTAAAATATTCTATATCATATATACTGTTTGATCTTTTATTTGGTTGATTTCATGTGGAATTTTTAGGACAGAGAACAAGACAAAACAAAACTATATTTGAATCATAACATAAGAATAAAGAGCGTTGAAGTGAGTATTAACTCAAGGAATGAGTGAGGGTTGGAAATACAGAAATAATCAGAATGGCACAAGTGGTAACAGAACTATCAGAAGAAAAATTTTGATTTGCTTCTACCGTGTTGTAAAGAGCCTCATTAGAATGAATGCACATTGTAAATGCACTGAAATAAGCTAAGTCAAAGACATGTGTTTCTAATATTTTCTTGTTCTTGTCCTAGAATGTACTCACCTATTATTCGCCTAGAGAAATTAACTTATCCTTCTATAAAGCTTGATTATGCATTCCTTCCTGATCACCTTATTCATGCCTCCCACCACCATTTTCTGCTTCCTCCCCTCTTTCTTACACATTTATAACACACATTATTTTTATTTGGAACATTATACAATATAATGCTGAAATACCTCATCTACTAAGGAGCAAAATCCTGAAATCATTACATAGATCATTGTGTACCATTACATAGAACATAGATAGGTACTGTGGTACCTAATATTGTGATGTGTGCAATGTTGTCCCATAAAAAATTTGTTGACAAAATGATTAATTATTGACGCAAATTGACTACGTCACTACAAAGAAAGGGGGACTATTTATGGAGGAAAAAGATTAGTTACATTTTAGACTACAGTATACCACAGTATCTCCAGGTGTGCGGATGGTTCCTAACAGGCCATGGACTGTTACGAGTCTACAGCACAGGGGTTGGGGACCCCTGCTCTAGGCAACCAACTTCACTTTTATACTTATATTTATTTCTTATTTATATAATTTTATTATATAATAACACCTATTATTTTAGTCAATTTGAAAAAAAATATATAATAAAATAAAATGCACACAAATATATTTATAAAAATCACTAATCACTAACACTAAAATATTTTCCCTTTATCTTTGTACACATTTATGCCTTTAAAAGAATGTCAATTTTTTTAATTTCTCTTATTTTTCACTCAATATAAAATAGTGAAACTTTTTCTCAGATTTTATCAGTGTATCATCTTAATATGTAATATATGCTCATTTAATTATTCCACAATATTGTACATTTTCTCAACATTTTAAAATTGCAAGTTGTAATATGTATATGATACCTATGATTACATAGATATAATTATATGTAAATCTCTGGAAGTTTTATTTTTGTTTTGTTTTGTTTGAGTTGTAGTTTCGCTCTTGTTGCCCAGGCTGGAGTGCAATGGCACGATCTCAGCTCACAACAACGTCCGCCTCCCGGTTTCAAGTGATTCTCCTGCCTCAGCCTCCTGAGTAGCTGGGATTACAGGCAGGTGCCACCACACCTGGCTAATTTTGTATTTTTAGTCGAGACGGGTTTTCTCCATGTTGGTCAGGCTGGTCTCAAACTCCCGACCTCAGATGATCCATCAGCCTCGGCCTCTAAAAGTGCTGGGATTACAGGCGTGAGCCACCGCACCTGGCCAAATTTCTGAACGTTTATTATTTGTGTAAGAGTTTCCATACTTATCTTTTAACATTTGTATCTTCAGAAAAGATATTTCTCACTGAATATACTCTTTATAATTACATATTGAATGAGTAAATTACAATTAACCATGAAGAAATTTTGAGAAGCTAAATCACTTGATGCATGGCATATTACATTGATTACCAGAAACCTATCCTACCTAAGATGATTCGTATACAACAGTAATGGTAAATTCAACCTCCTTATCAGGGGAAAGTTTAGAAATTGTCATACAACCTAATTCTGGACAATCAGTCATGAAAAGAAGATGTCTATATCTTTGTTGATAGAAGTGTTTAACTTCTAAAAGGCTGGAGAGAAAGCAAATCCTTAATTACGTCATGGGCTGCTAAAACAATCAGTATTGCATCCTGCCCAGCACTGGGCTTACTGTTATATGAAATAATATATTTCATTACAGTTAAAGTAAACTTACACAATTTTTAAAAAATTTGCAACGTAAGGCATACTAACCAGGAGAATGGTTATAAGCATTTTTAAGACAATTATTCTACAACATTAGAAACACTCTCCAAAGGTAATCTACAAATTTACATTTCATTTTGCATGAATAAATTAATTGAATATGTGTCCTCACTCCCTCAATCACTGCTTTTAGAATTAAGTCCTTTACTTCTCAGTGCATTTTCTCTATAGCCTGTTTGTGCATAAAACTTTTTTTCCAATTGTAACTTACACCAATTGATACATTTAATACCAACTTTCTTGTAGTATACGATGAGTAATTATGAACACATGAATTTCTTATTTTAAACTAGATCAATTCATTCAGCTGACATTTATTGAGTAGACATGTGAGTTACATTGTGAGTCACTGAAGGAATAAATAAATGACAAGTTTCCTACCATCCAGGGGAGAGAGGATGATGGGCAACAATTGAAAGTTGTTATATTAAGCTTTATGTATATTTGTATTGTAGATTTTATCAAAAAATTGGCATATCTCCACAGAGTAAGGATCAAGAAGGGTGTTAAGTTGGGAGAGATATCTGGCATGGAGAATGTAGTCAATTTCAAAATATCATATGCCAGTTACTATTAACACTATTTAGACAATAGCAGCAGAGACAGAAAGGAAAATATCTAACAGAATAAAATTGGCTGAAAAGATGACTGAAAGTGGCTGGTGACAAAAGGACTTTACAAATAGAGTCATCACCTAAAAACAAGAAAGGAGGAATAGAAAGTTGAGAAGAGGAACATAGAAGTGAGGTTATAAGAATATGAGCAGGCTGGGCGTGGTGGGTCACACCTGTAATCCCAGCACTTTGGGAGGCTGAGGCAGGTGGATTACCTGAGGTCACGAGTTCGAGACCAGCCTGACCAACAAGGTGAAACCCCGTCTCTACTAAAAAATACAAAAATTATCCGGGCATGGTGCTGGGGGCCTGTAATCCCAGCTACTCGGGAAGCTGAGGCAGGAGAATCGCTTGAACCCGGGAGGGAGAGGTTGCAGTGAGCCGATATCATGCGATTGCACTACAGCCTGGGTGACTTAGCAAGACTCTGTCTCAAAAACAAAAAACAAACAAACAAACAAACAAAAAAAGAATATGAGCTGAGATTACAAAATATTGTGAAGACAGCTTTCCTCATATTATAGATGTAGCAAGATAAGAATAAATTTTGTAAATAAGTATTTCTGAATGTATATTTCTTTTTAGAGACTAAGAGGTTACGTTAAAACATATATATGAAAAATACAAATCTAATTTACGATGGACTTATGAAAAATTGGCATTTTTATCAATTTCCCTCCAATAAGAACTTCAAGGAAATCAAATTTTCACAAAATTTTAAATTAATTGCATGTTAGTTACGTGTATGTGTCTACAATGAATACATATATGTATACATTTAACACTAATTGTCCTTTAGCTGGATCCCAACTTCAGGGAATATTATATGATATAAAATGAAATTTTATGAATATAAACATCTCTAATTGTAACAATGTTGTCAAGCATCAGGATTTAAAAAACACTGTAATGCAAGTAATAAGATGACTCTAGTAATGGCGAACAACTATTTCGTATTTACTATAGATAACATGCAGAGCAGTATTCTATTTTAGAAACAGTATATAATTAAGCCCTTCATGCTTAATCTATGAAATAGGCCATATTTATAACATAAAGAAATTAAGGAACATTGAACATTAAGCATACATTAAAGATAGAACATATATTAAACATATATTAAAGACAGAACTAGGAATAAACCCAAAATTTTTTAATATTAAAATCATGTAAGTAAAGGCAGGAAAAAGAAGAAAATAACTGCAGGATTAATCTAAAAATAAATTAGAAAACAAATAAAACTATGGAGGGAAAAACAAGGGATCTCTCTAGGATATAACTGGTTCCTTAATTATGTTTAAATCACGGTTTGGTCCATAAAAAAACTAAATATATTTATAACAACTTTTACAAAAATTTATAATGAATCTGTTTGTGGTTTCATTTACTTTCTCACTGTCTTTTCATGGCCAAAATCAGTATTAAGTTCATAGAACCAATTTTGGATGTTAATAATCTTCATAAAATAATAATATATCATAATATAGTCTTTATTATGGAATAAAAATGACTGGTATTTCTAGATATAAAAAGAAGTAAAAACAAAAAGGAAAGATAGGATGGCATGCACAGTAAGAAGAGAGAAACAGATACAGACAGGCCTGGAGATAAAGGAGCGAGAAACATGAAAACACCTGCATGAATGACATAGGTGGATAGTGCACAAAACACGGCAGGCTTTCTAAAATCCTACTTTAAATTTACTGCCATAATTGATAAAAATTACATACAAAAACTCTGATTGACTGTCATTTATCATGTAAATTGAATATCAAAGCTTAGGCTTTAGCTTTCTTAATTCATTTATCATATAAATTGAATATCAAAGCTTAGGCTTTAGCTTTCTTAATTCAATAACATACTTACAGGGAGGAGCTGTCAAATAAGCTTAAATTTACTGTAGGAAGGTATTTCTGTGCTCAAAAAGTCCTTCTTATATGTATTAGATGCTATTTCTTTTCAATTTCTTATTTTTGTAAGAATATTTTCTTCACACAGTCATAGATCTGCTTGGTTCTGACTCCATATATGACAGGATTGAGCATTGGTGGCACCACAACATAGAGATTGGCTAGGAGTATATGGATATAGCGGGGCACATTTTGGCCAAAGCGATGAGTCACAAAGGAAAAGAGGGCTGGTGTATAGAAGGCAAGGATTACACACACATGTGAACCACATGTGCTGAGGGACTTGAGTCAGGCTTTACAGGAAGGAAGATGGAAAACAGCGTGAAGTATTTGCACATAAGAAAGGGCAATGGCTATGATGTCGAATACTAGGATTGAAATAGCACCCAAGCCATAGATTATATTGATCTTGATACTGGAACAAGACAGATGAGCAAGACCCATGTGCTCACAGTTGGTGTGGGGAATGACATGATCCCCACAGAAGGGCAACCGCAAAATGAGAAAAACAAATGGAATAACAGACATAAATGACCTCACTAACACACCAAGACCAATCACAGAAACAGCCTTTTTGGTGAGGATGATGCTATATCGTAGCGGGTTGCAGATGGCCACAAAGTGGTCATAAGCCATTCCCACGAGGGCTGCTGACTCCATGCCAGTAAAGTTGTGGATGAAAAACATCTGGATGAGGCAGGCATCACAGATAATCTCCCTGAGGCTAAACCAGAAGATCCCAAGCATCTTAGGGATGGTAGCTGTTGAAAGGCCCAAGTCAATGGTGGCCAACATGGCCAGGAAGTAGAACATGGGCTGGTATAGGCTGCTGTCAGTCTTGATCACAAGTAGAATAGTGAAGCGCCCTATGAGTGCAATTATGTACACAGCACAAAAGGGAAAGCCGATCCAGATGTGAAGTGTTTCTAGCCCTGGGATCCCCAGCAACAGGAAGGAGGAGGGGTGAAACTGGGTGTTATTGGGAAGGAACATCCTGCTTGTGAATGCATAAGTCCATGATCTTTATGACTGTATGTGTGCCAATCAGCAGGAAAACAGGTAAAATTCTGCAGAATTGAAAACCAAAAAAATTCACACGATTAGAAATGTACTACATAAAGAACAATCGAAAATGTGAATTCTCAGTGAGAAGGGTCTGGATGAATTTAAGCAGTGGATGGTAATAAAAAGTTTGACATAACATATTCCTCTGTTTTAATGCTTTTCTTCTCATCAGTTTGCAATGGTCTCATCACTGATATTATGCTACAATTTTATCTTAATACCTATTTCATTTATTACCTTCTCTTACCATCACACAGAATTTACTTTCAATTCAGACATACATAGAGTTGTCAGGCCCCATAGTGATTTCTATTTGTTCCATTTGGTTAGATGGCAACACACAGGTGTTAACATACAAAATGGGTAAGAAGTTGTTAATGAAAACACAGATTCATTAAGATGTAATCTAAAATATTGAAAATATTTTTTCAGTGCAGGTTAATTTTATTAATACATAATAGTTGCACATAATTATGGGGTACATGTGGTATACTGATACATACGTGTAATGTGTAAAATGTGTAATGATCACATCAGGGTAATGAAGATATCCATAATCTCCAACATTTATCATTTCTTTGTGTTAGAAACATTCCAAATCTTCTCTCATGGCTATTTTGAAATATACTACAAATTTTTGTTAACTATAATTACCCTACTGTGCTATTAAACACTATAACTTATTTATTTTATCTAACTATATTTTTGTACCCATTAACCAACCTCCCTTTGTCCGCCCTCACCCTTACACACTTCCCCACCTCTGGTAACCATCATTCTACTCATTATTTGCATGAGATCAATTTTGTTTTAGATACAACATATTAATGAGAACAGGAGACATTTGTCTTTCTGTGCTTAGCTTACTTCAGTTTACATAATGTCCTCTAGTTCTATCCATGTTTTTAAAGAATTAAACTTGGCCCATTTATTATTATTCATTCATCATTATTACACAATAATGAAGTAAATGTAGTAAAACAGCAGCATCAACTACCATTTATTAATGTACTGTTTCCTACTTGAAATTCTATGTTAGAATCTGTGCAAATAGCAGATATCATCTCTGTAAACATATGGGAGAGCATATTTAACCATATTTTACAAAGTGTCTGAGCCTCAACTAGTTTAAGGACTCATCAAACTATATGCATGAAATATCTATAATTATAGAATCAGAAAAAGGAAGTAGGAAAATAATGAATTAAAATGGAAAGAGAGTAGAAATAAGGAAGAGATGATTTGTATCTTATTTGAGTCATATTTGCCAAACTTCCCCTCCTCTCACACACAGTAACACAGGTAATCTCTTTTAAACACACATGCGTCTGAATAAGAGATATCAGTATCTTTATTTTAAATCTGAGACACTTAGATTTTGAGTGTTTAAGATAGATGAAAAACATGTTGAAGAAAAGACTAGAAAGAGAAAAATACAATCTGAGCATTGAGTTATTAGAAGTAAAAAAAAAATATATATATATCATTTCTAAAGCTACCTAAATTGTTTTTACATATTTTCATGTACCTTATGGCATTTGTTAGAGGAGTATTTTCAAGGCATTCAATCATTCATTAAGTATAATTATTATATAGTAAAAAGTCTTTTGTTCATTTTTTATCATTGGAGGATTCCAGAGCAGCAATACTAATTATGACTATAGTTTCCAGAAGACAATCAGGATGTGGGCTAAACATTAACATGAGAGAAGCAAAGCCAAGAAGAGGAGGTTCCATGATAAACAGGTGATGGGAGGAGCACTGTAATATGGATGGGGAAATAGGGAACTCCTAGAAGGAAATGGTAAACATTTGAAAAGAGGAAAGGCTAAGAAAAGTTGATGTTATTTGCATGAGACGCAATGTGGAATGTGTAGAACAGTCTTTCTTGTATAATGTTTTGACCTTGTAATTGAACAGTGAATAAGAAGGTGTGACATGGACAACAAAAGGTGTGAAAGTAGGATTCAATTATAAAAGCATTTTTTTGGCTGGGCGTGGTGGCTCAAGGCTGTAATCCCAGCACTTTGGGAGGACAAGGCAGGTGGATCACGAGGTCAGGAGATCGAGACCATCCTGGCTAACAGGGTGAAACCCCTTCTCTACTAAAAACACAAAAAATTAGCCGGGTGTGGTGGTGGGCGCCTGTAGTCCCAGCTACTCGGGAGGCTGAGGCAGGAGAATGGCGTGAACCCGGGAGGCAGAGCTTGCAGTGAGCCGAGATAGCCCCACTGCACTCCAGCCCGGGCAATAGAGTGAGACTCCATCTCAAAACAAAACAAAACAAACAAACAAACAAACAAAAAAACACTTTTGTGTGTGTGTGTGATTTATCACTGTATATGCCAGTGGGTTTTTTTCTAATTCAATTAAACTTTCTGTATTCCTGAATAACATCTCTGAAGAACAGAAATACAGGCAATAGTCTCAGAAAGCTACAAAAACTGTATTTTTCCTTTTCAAACTTCTCATATGTAATAGAATCTCAGTAAATAAAAAAATTACTTTAGCTAATAAGTGCAAAGCTGATCATTAAAGGAAATAAATAAGCTATATATTTGTGTGTTTTTTGTAAGAGAGGTAGAGGACATTGTATTCGGTGTTTGCAAATAAAATAATGGGGAAATTATATCTGTCAACTCAGATAATTATTTCTATAGTAAGACAGGGTCTGAATAGTTTGTTAAGTAGACAGTGACATGAATACCACATAGAAATAGTCAGAAGACACACAGAGCAATGAAATTGTGTAATCTTTTTATGTCATTATCATTCAGTGGACTGGCTAGATAAAAAATCTAAGGTGTATCCTCTCCATAGTATTAAAAATACTATTGAGTCTACATCTCTAGTATCTTTAAAAACAATAAATTTGGCTCCATCCTATCGGGACTAGTTCAAACCATTATTGTGTCTTCAGTTGATAATAACACAGTATTTTGCAGTGCTTAGAAGTGTGAACTCTGCAGTCAGAATAAGAGTGTTGAAACCCAGCTTCATAATTAATTCATTCTGTAGTCAAAGCAAATGAACATTACCTGTTAGCTATGTGACTTTGCAGACATAATTTAACATCTCTATATCTCATTTCCTACATCCATAAAATAGAGATAATAAATAACCCTAAATATGTAATCAGTTTTAAATAGATATTTATTTTAAGACACTTAGACCATATTCGAAAGATACTATGCTATTATTTCTTTAGATGTGAAAAGACTTATTTTTTCTAAAATGTAACCCAAATCAATTTAGGCTGAAATCCAAAATTTCTCCTAGTATTATATGACCCTTCTGAGCCTTGATTCTTCTTATTCTTTAAGCTTCATCCTTAGTCTTCTTTCCTCAAAGCTTTTGTCTTCTCTTCCTCCCTTCTATTCTCCTCTTTCTCTTCGTCTATCACTGTGTCCTAAAAATGCACCTGTGAGCTGGGAGACAGGGAAGACTCACCAGGCTTAGCTCCAGGATAAAATCTGTGTTGCCTGTGTTGTTTCAATAGGCAAAGGCTTTATGAGGGCACCACTCCTTGCCTGAAAAGAGCTTTCAATAGAAAATCCCCCAGAGCCAGTTTTGTTAAAGACACAATGTCTCTAAGGATTCTAGTTTACAATCTGGCCCTGACTCATGATTCATGAATCATTAATAAACATCATTTAGATCTTTAGACTAAATTGGTTGAAAAATTTTTAACAGAAATAAAAGGCTAAATGTATGGATTGATGAAATGTCAACTAATAAAAAAACAAGTATAAGGGATGACATTATTGTGAGGCTGAAAGCCAAAGAAATTTACATTTCAGTTACCAAGGGTAAGAGAAATGTCAAAGTCTTCTTAGCTGGTGTTGGCTGACTCACATGTTTGAAAAAACAATAAGGCATGAAAAATGTTAACCTTGAATCTGGAAGAGAGAGCTATTAGGGAGCTTTGGCTTCTAAGGAGATGATGACAAATAATTTAGGTTTAGGTCAGCAAAATGGAAGAATAGACAGTCCTGGTACTCCTCCCTCACAAAATCACAAATTTAATAACTGTCCATGGACAAAAATATCTTTGTGAGAGATCTGGAATGTAAGAGAGAAATTGCAGCCCTGTAGTGGAGCAGAGAATGAGAAAAGGCACATTGAAGAAGATAAAAGGAAAAGCTTCCCTTGCCCAAGTTACCCTCCTCCCTACCTGGCACAGTGCAATGCCAAGAGAGATCCCCTCAGCCCAAGAGTTTCTTCACAGGTGAAAGAGGGTGCAAACAAAATGAGGCAGATATATATGCAATGGGATACTACTTAGGCTTAAAAAAGAAAGAAGTTTGTCATTCGTAACAGCATGTATAAATATGGAGGTCATTTTTAAGTAAAACAATTAATTCATATAAGAGCAAATGATATGTGATCTCATTCATATGTATGTGGAATCTAAAAAAGTCAAACTCATAGAAACAGAAAATAAAATGAGTAAAAATGATGGTTACAAGAGGCTAAGAGGTGGGGAACTGGAGAGATCTCATTAAGGACACAATCTCTGTTACGTAGGAAGAATAAGTGCAAGAGATCTGTTGTACATCATTATGACTACAGCTGACGATATAATATATATTTGAAAATTGCTAAGTGAGTATAGTTTAGGTGTTCCCATATCCACAAAATGATTAACATGTGAAGAAGTGTAGCCTAATACATCTATTCCACAACATATTTACATATATATATATAGTACATCATGTTGTGCACCATGAAGATACACCATTTTTATTTGTCAATTAAAAAAAAAAGTAACAGAGAGTGAGCCTGGCCAAAGATATATATGTGTACACACACACACACACACACACACACACACACACACACACACAGAGAGTCAATTCTCATTCTTTTCAGTAGCTATGTTGTGTAACTGAGAGAGGAGAAAAAAAAAAGCTAGGTAGACAGAATTAGGGCAGGTACTTAGTGAAATTCTTTCAAACAAAAGAGCAGCCTGGGGAAAAATAAAGCTACAGACACAGATAAGGGCGTAAGGCCCAACATAGAAACGTCTCTGCCCTTTGTGTAATACCTCGGGCTCCAGGGAAGAAAAACTTCTTTCCTCCCTTTTTACAGACATGTACACGGTGAGCTCTGTTGAGCATATTTCTCTCTTTTTTAGAGAAGACATGCCCGCAGCTGTGCAGATAAGGGAAGTTACACAGGCAGCTACACAGATAAGGGAAGATTCTTATAAAAACAATTGTATTCAACTGTGAAACAGCAACCCTCTTGGACCCCCTCTCAGCTGCAGAGAGCTTTCCTCTTTCATTTATTAAACTTCCGCTCCAACCTCACCCTTGGTGTCCACACTCCTTATTTTTCATGATCTTGAGACAAAGAACTCTGGATAACACCTCAGAAAACAAGACTACTTCATAACCATTGCCATGAACACGGAATTAACAAATATGGAACCATTCATTACTCCTCCTAAGGTTAGCTTTCTACAAGCTGCTGGTCACAATATTTTTGTCAGTCAATCAACACATAATCTTGTTTTGTGGGTAGTGCTGTTTAAAAACATATTATTTAATATGTAGTTCTTAAAAGTAAGTAATTGCACAGCTTTTTAATAATTTAAAGCCAGGGGATTTGGAAGCCATTTGCATTATAAAGGTCTACTTGGTAGTGTCCTTGTATAATAAGCCAGTCTCATCAGCATTGAAAACCTGCTCTTTCACGTAATTATTTTCCTGTATAACCCTTAGCAGGCATTTAAAAAATTCTGTAGCTTCCTGATATGCAGAACCTACCTCAGTTGCAAGATTAAACTTTTTCATGCCTTATCGTCTTTTCAAACGTATATGCCAGCCAACACCAGCCAAGGAGATTTTGACATTTTTCTTACCCTGGGTAACTTTAATATAAATTTCTTTGGCTTTCAGCCTCACAACAATGCTGTTGCCTACACTTATTTTTTTTATTAGTTTACATCTCATTAATCCACAAGTTTAGCCTTTTTTTCCTCCATTAAAAAACCTAATTTCAACAAATTTAAAGATCAAAATGGCTTTTATTAATGAGTTGTGAAGCATGCGGCATCCCATTTAAAAATAGAAGGATGCCTGGTAAGGTGGCTCATGCCTGTAATCCCTGCACTTTGGGAAGCTGAGGCGGGTAGATCACTTGAGGCCAAGAGTTCAAGAACAGCCTGGCCAACATGGCAAAAACCCATCTCTACAAAAAATACAAAAATTAGCACGCCTGTAGTCCCAGCTAGTCAGGATGCTGAGGCAGAGACTCACTTGAACTCCAAAGGTGGAGTATGCAGTGAACCGAGATCACACCACTGCACTCCAGGCTGGGCGACAGAGTGAGACTCCATCTCAAAAAAAGAAAAGAAAAGAAGTAAAAGGAGTTCCATTGGATAGGGTGTAACAGTTGTTTTTTGCAAACCAGGTTGAGGGTTGAGCAGGAACAAGGAAACAGAATAACACAAAATGAAAATTGGTCAATATTAAGTTACTTTTAATTTCTTCCTAAGAGTTAAAGCAGAGGGTATTTATTAATCATGCCAGCACAGACTGGGCCTTTTCTGATTGTTTCCTGTGACTATCTTATTTTTAGGAAAAACTGGTCTGGTTGGGGATTTCTGTGATTCTTTTTTTTTTTTTTTTTTTTTTTGAGACGGAGTCTCGCTCTGTCGCCCAGGCTGGAGTGCAGTGGCGCGATCTCGGCTCACTGCAAGCTCCGCCTCCCGGGTTCACGCCATTCTCCTGCCTCAGCCTCCCGAGTAGCTGGGACTACAGGCGCCCGCTACCACGCCCGGCTAATTTTTTGTATTTTTAGTAGAGACGGGGTTTCACCGTGTTAGCCAGGATGGTCTCGATCTCCTGACCTCGTGATCCTTTAGAGTTTCTGTTTGATTACATGGTACCTAGCACAAGTGACTCCATTTTGGTTTAGTTTGTTGGGACCTAGTGCAGGAGCTCACTTCAGAACAATGGCTTCTCATAAATTTTATTTAACACACATTTTTCCACACCTTTATCACACATCATAAATGCTACTGAAGCATTTTCCAAAGTGACATCATATACAGCTAGATAAACTTCCTTCTTTTTCAAAGGAAACTGTATTGTTGTTCATCAGCTTTGAACTCACAACCAACAGCACTATAACTCATTTTTGGATGAAGCTTACCTAGCAACGTTATTTTCTCCATAAGGCACAAGATGGCCTCCTTGCAATTGGAAAAACTTGATAGCACTTCAGCATTACACTTCAGGGCCATTTAAACAGTGGGATCATCAATAAGAAGCAAAACATGAGAAAAAGGTTGCACTAAGTAAAAAAGGACATTTGTTAATAGCATAAAAGCTGAAACTAGAAATCATTGCTTCCTTGTTCAACCTCAGCTGAAAATTATATTTTGATGTATTTCATATAATTAATTTCTATAACATTTATTCTAAAGAATCATGAAGGAAATAGAGTGTATATCACAACAAAAAGCTTGGATTATGCAATAAACTTGTAAAGTCTAATATGTTTTAAATATTTAACATAAATATGAAAATTATGAAATAAAATTAAACCTAATATTAATGTAACATGAATGATGCCAGTGTTTTAATATTTGTCTATATTAAAAATAAAAAGCGTTATTTAAAACAAAGAACTGAGGCATCATCTTTCTTTTCTCAATATATACATACGATAATTTTAAGAACCAACAATTCTGACATTCAAGCAATCCTGCTGAGAGACAGTCCCCAGAGACAGTTGAGGACCCAATGCTTCCTCCTTCTTAATTGTCCTCTTATTAAGGTATTAGCTCTAAAGAGTTACCCCCAAAGGCTTCTTTCTCTGACACTATGGGGAGGCCATCACCACTCCAAGACCATGGGGCCTTAGACACCTGGAAACTATCTATAACTGAGCTGATTTGGAAAAGCTGTAGGTCATAAGAGAACAGGTGGCTCCCTCGGGCCAGGTGGATTTTCATCCTGATATGCATGGGACCGCTAGTGAGGTAAAGCGGTGCTCACTTGCTCTTTTATGTCATAAGCTAGGCCTGCAATAGGCCGATGGAAGGTTTCAGGACTCTATTCAGAGCGGACAGGCTCTGAAAAACAGGCTTGTTTAAGATTTCTTGGGTCAGCTGCTACCATTTGGGCTTGTGGGCTTGGAAGAGGGTGCATCTATATCACAAGCAGTGGAATCTCTACTTTGTTATGAGTTGAGACCAGACTGTAACTTTCATTTAGGGTATGTTTGAGTACGGGCTTTTCTACTTAGTTAAGTGCATCAAATGAAGGCTGATGACAAAAATAATGGAAGTGTAGATGTATCAGCCCTATATTCTTTAGAAATCCATTACATTAATGCAATGTCTCCTGAAGCTCAAAGCACTCTGCAATGCATTATGTCATTTTACATTTAAAAGCACTGTGGGGTATACATCTTCTAAGGTTTAATGTAAAGATCACAAACTTTATACTTATACTTGGGTTCAAATTCCAGCTCCATAAGTTCATGGTAGAAGAGCTTTGAGCAAACCAATTGAACATTCTTAGCTTATTTTCTTATTTGTGTCATAAATATGATTACCTACCCAAAACCTTCCTTAAGGGATAATGTCAACAATGCAACTAACATAGTGGTTAGCAGCAATTCATGTTGTTTTACATTATTTTTGTGAAGAGATGCATACAGGATGTAAGATTTAGCCAGAGACATCATAAACCATTATATTATTCCTCCTCAAAAGCATATGTGACTTTCCTTCCCTTCATTCCCTCATTTTCTTCATTATGTAGTTAAACTAGGAATAAAATGCTGACAATTAAATTTTGTTGGAGACTGATTCCAGAGTATGTCTCAAAACTTAACATGATAATCAGAAAATTGTTAATGCAATACAGTGTTTGGGATTAGTGTAGACTATAATAAATTTATACTGATTCAAAGTAATTTCAAACCAGTTGTCTTCAATTTATGTTGAAACAATTTACCAGAAAATAATTATATTTCCTTACATTTCCCTTTCCTCTTTTTCTTTATTCATTCAGTGGAACAACAAGCAAATATGTGGAAAGACAATATTTCTGTCAAATAAAAATTTTCAGTATTATAAGGAAGATAAGTATGCAGAAATGTAGAATACAATATGACAAAATATAGAAGATGGGTAAGCGCAAATATCACAGGGACACCAAGAAGGGGTGTTAAAGGTGGCTTGAGGTAGTTAGAAAAATAATCTCAGAGGTTTTGATATGTGAGTAGAGTTTTCTACAATTCTGATTACAATTATTAAGGGTTTTATTTTATTTTAATTTTTTTAGGATAAGATCTCGCTGTGTCTCCCAGACTGCAGTGCAAGTGGTGCAAACATAACTCACTGTAGCCTCGAACTCCTGTGCTCAAGTGATCCTCCCACCTTGGCTTTTGAGTAGCTGTGACTACAGGTGCGTGCCACCACACTCAGCTTATTAAGGGATTTTATGTGTGAGAAATATTATGAAGAACAAAGACACAGGGTGATCATTTTCATAAATTGAGTAGATGACCAGTTCTCTATGCAGAGAGATATGGGGAAAGGTATTTTGAATGGTTAGAAAGATTTTTGAATATTTTACAAGAAAAGGGAGTCCATATCTTACTTGTAAACTCCTAGTTTGTATTTTTAAAATAAATACAATGGTAACATTGCATTGTTCATATACTTACATTAAACACTCTAAGTAATACATACATACATTGAATACATTGACTGTTAAGTAAGTCAAACCAGTTATATGTCTAAATTGCACTCTATGCTCATTTCCATTTATCACTCATTTTACACTCCTACTAAATTGGGTATGTATTGTTTTAGATTGTTTTTTGAGTTTATGAAATTTTCAGTACAAATGCGATTAAATTAAATACATACCTGAAGGTTTGAATTTTTTGTATATTTCAATATGAATGAAAGCAATTAAATTCTGCTCATTTTTATTTGAATAGCTTTCATATCTGTTTATATAATGTCATATTAATGTTAAGTGCTGCTGAGTATAGTATACTATAAAAGTACCACATATCTTTTAACAACACTTTTTTATTTTATTTTTACTTTACATGTAATAATTGTATATATTTCTAAAACACAGAATGCTATTTTGATACGTTTATAATGTGTAATGATCAAGTTAGAATATTCATCATCTCAAATATTTATTACTTGTGTTGAGAACATTTAAAATCCTATTTTCTAGCTTTTCGAACAATAAGTTATTGTTAACTACATTGACCCTACAATGCTATAGAACACTAGTACTTTTTCCTCTTATATAATTGTAATTTTGTATCCATTAACAAGCTCCTCTTTATCCTTCCCTTCCCCATATCTATCCCAGAGTGTAATAACCAGAATTCTATTCTCTGCTTATATGAGGTCTTTTTATTATTATTTGGCTACCGCATGAGGGAGAACATGTAGTATTAATTTTTCTGTGCCTGACTTACAGTGTCCTCCAGGTTCATCTATGGTACCACAATGACAGAATTTTATTGTTTTTTACAGCACAATGAATAATATTCCATTGTGTGTGTATACCACATTTTTATTATCCATCCATCTATTGATGGAAATTTAGGTTAATCCCATATCTTGATTATTGTGAATAGTGCTGCAATAAACATGGATGTGCAGATGTCTTTTCTATACAGTGATTTTATTTTCTTTGGATAAATAACTACTAATGGAATTGCTGGATCATATGGTGGTTCTAGTTTTAGTTTTTTGATAAACACTTGTACTCTTTTCCATAATGGCTGTACCAATTTACATTCCTGCAAACATTTTGTGAGAGTTCCCTGTCCTCCACCTTCCTGCCAGCATTCATTATGTTTTGTCTTTTTGGCAATTGCCATTCTAACAGGGTGAAATGATAGCTCATTGTAATTTTGATTTGCACTTATCTGATTATTAGTGATGTTGAACTTTTTTTATATAGTTGTTGGTCATTCGTATGTCTTCTTTTGAGAAATGTCTATTCAGCCATTTTGCCCATTTTTAAATCAGATTATTTTTTTCCTGTTAATTTGTTCGAGTTCCTTACATATTCTGGATATTAGTCCCTTGTTGGATGAATAGTTTGCAAATATTTCCTCCCATCCTACAAGTTTTCTCTTCATCCTGATGATTGTTTCCTTTGCTATGCAGAAGCTTTTTAGTTTTAGTCCCATTTGCCTATTTTTGTTTTGTTACCTATGTTTTTGTAGTCTTAGCCATAAAATCCTGGCCGAGACCAGTGTTCTGAAGGATTCCGCCTATGTTTTACTCTTGTAGTTGTATAGTTTCAAGTGTTACACTTAAATCTTTAATTCATTTTTAGTTAATTTTTGTATTTAGTGGGAGACAAAGGTCTACTCTTAGTACTATGCATACAGATATCTGGTTTTTTCCAGCATCATTTATTGAAGAGGGTGTCCTTTCCCCAGTGTTTGTTCTTGACATCATTGTGGAAAATAAGTTGGCTATAAATAACATGGATTATTTCTGGGTCCTCTATTCTGTCCCATTGGTATATGGATTTGTTTTCATGCCAGTGCCATGCTGCTTTTGTTACTATAATTTTATAGATTATTTTGAAGCCAGGGACTCTAATGTCTCTGGTTTTGTTCCTTTTTCTCAGTGATGTCTTGACTTTTTAGGGTCTTCTGTGATTCCACATGGATTTTATTTTACTTTTTAATTTATGTGAATAACATCATTGATGTTTTGATAGGAATTGTACTGAGTCTGCAGATTGCTATGGGTATTATGGTCATTTTACTAATAATAATTCTTTCAATTCTTGAGCATAAGATGGCCTTCCATTTTTTTCTTGTGTGTCTTATTCAGTTTTTTTCATTAGTGTTTTGTAACGGATGTTGAGTTTTACGAAATGCTTTTCCTGTGTCTGTTGAGATAATCACAGGGTTTTTTTCCCTTTATTCTCTTGACTGGATGAATCATATTAATTGATTTGCTTATGTTGAACCATTTTTACATCCTTAGGATAAATACCACTTGATCATGGTGTATTATCTTTTGATGTGCTATTGGATTCCATTTGATATAATGGTTTGCCTATTTTGTTAATTTTTCAAATAAACAATTTTTGTTTCATTTATTTTTATATTTGTTTTGTCTCTATTTTGTTTTGTTCTGCTCTCATTTTTATTGTTTATTTTCATCTACTAATTTTTTGTTTTGTTTGGTCTTACTTTTCTAGATCTTGAGGTGCATGATTAGGCTGCTTATTTGAAATCTTTCTATTTTTTGATGTGGGTGTATACGGCTATTAACTTCCCTCTTAGAACTGCTTTTGCTGTAACCAATAGGTTTTGGTATATTGCTCTATTTTCTATCTATATATGTTCTACTATATTGTCTCTCTATCTATATGTTCATATTCTATTTTCATTTATTCTCAGAAAATTTTTAATTTCATTCTTAATTTCTTTATGTAACCAATGGTCTTTCAGGTGCATGTTGTCTTATTTTCATGTATTTATACAGTTTCTAAAGTTTCTTTTTATTAATTTTAGTTTTATTCCATTATGATCTAAGTACATACTTGATAACTATTTGGGTATATAACTTAATATGGTTTTAATTTTTAAAATAATTATTGAGACTTGTTTTGTCACCTAATGTGTGGTCTATGCTAGGATATGCTCCATGTGCTGAAGAAAATATGTATTCTACTTCTACTAGATGAAATGTTCTGTACATTTGGTTTAAGTTCATTGTTTCTTTGTTGATTTCTGTCTAGATGATCTCTCCATTGCTGACAGTAGGTTACTGAAATCCCCAACTATTGTTACATTGCTGTCTATGTCTCTCTTTAGCTTTAGTAATATTTCCTTTATATATCTGGATGCTCCAGTGTTAAGTATATATCTAATCTATCTATATATTTGTTATATCCCCTTACTCAATTGGTCTTCTTATTATAATATAAATACCTTCTTTTTCTCTTATATTTTTTTTTGACTAAAATCTATTTTGTCTAAGTGCAGGTACTGCCACATACTATTGGTTTTGTTTGTGTGGAATATCTTTTTCCATCTCTTCACTTTCAGTTTATCGTGTACTTAGGTAAAGTAAGTTTCTTGTAATCAGCACAGTTGGGTTTTACTTTTTATCCACTTATCCATTTTATATTTTTGATGGGGGACAGAATTTAGATCACTCTCATTCAAGGTTGTTATTGATAGGTGAGGGCTTACTTCAGTAATTTTTTTGTTTCTGATTGTTTTTATAACCTTTGTTTCTTTCTTCATCTCTTACTGTTTAACTTGGCAGTTTGGTGGTTTTCTGGGCTAATAATGTTTGCTTATTTTCTCATACTCATTTGTATGTTTGCTCAACCATTGATTTTTATACTTTTATGTGTTTTCATGTTGGTAGATACCATCTTTTTACTTCCAGATCCAGGACTCCTCTGAGTATTTCTTATAGGACTTGCCCAGGGATAAATTTTCTAAGATTTTGCTTGTCTCAGAAAGACATTATTTCTCCTTCATTTCTGAAGGATAGATTTGCCAAATGTAGTCCTTTTATCTGGCTTTTTTTCCTTCCATCACTTCAAATATACCATTCTATTCTCTCCTTGCCTGTAAAGTTTCTGCTGAGAAGTCTGCTAAGAATCTAGGAGATTCCCTTATATTTGACTTGATGCTTTTGTCTCTCTCTCTCTTTTCTTTGAATTATCACTTTAACTATTATTTTATTTGTGGACATTTTGAGTGATTAAATATTTATTCTAATATAGGCAGTTTTCCAATGAGAATCACTGTATATATTTTGATATATATATGTAAAATATTACCTAAGATGTCAATTATTTTTGCCAGAAATATGATTTTTAATAATAATAATGGTTACTACGAATCTTACTCTAAAAGTTGTGCCAATTTACACTCCTACCAATTATTCTTGAGTTTATTTTTAACTCAAGCTTCACTTACTCTTGCTATAATCAATCTTGTTATTTTATTTGTTAAATACAATGCATAATTTGTGTCATATTCATTTTAATTTTTAATTTCCTGATTGCAAGTAAGACCTATTTTAAGTATTTGGACACTTGCATTAATATCATTGTTAATCTTTTCTTTACCTAAATTCTCTACCTATTTCCCATTGGGGAAATGTATCTATATTGTGTAAAGGAAAAGTTAAATAGAAAGAGTGAAGGTAAAAGTGAATGAGGAGTATGAGAATGCTGATAGGAACACAAATATAGATAAAAGCACAGAAAATGTTTTTTAAGGAAAAAAGGGAAATACGTTAAAATGCATTAGCCCAAGGATATATACATAAATCTAATTTTAATTAGAACAGGGTAACATGGAGAAAGTCTGGTTATGTTAATTGTCTTTTTCAGGTAAGAGCTCTTTTGCTTTGTGTAAGTGCATTGGGGACAGGTTAACTAATAAGAGAAGGCTATAATTTGGGCAAGCTTCTTTATGGCATTTACAAATGGTGAGGGGGAGAGCTTTCAAGAAGTAGTCATATTCAAATTAATGGTGATTGTATTTGCTAGTATTATATACAGAATCATTCCCATCCTCTGTATCTTCACAAGTATAGACTGTCACTTAATTATGGCAATTCATCCTTTTAATTGCATATGGGGGTTCCAGAATCAGTGTCTGAGCTAGAAACTAGGTCTATCACTTACCTGCTATATAACCTTGTACAAGTTACTTAAACTTTCCTTATCTAAAAAGGTGAATAAAATTTATATGAGTTAATACATAAAATGTTCCCAGGAAAATACCTGAGTCATAATCAGTGACTAACTAACTTAGAAATGTTACTTATTGTATTATTATATAAGTGTTAAATAATCTTATTTTTTCTACACTCCTATTTTCTCCAGTATATGTCCTAATTCAAAAATAATATTCCTTAGACTTTCCAAGGCTTTCTTGACACATATAGCTGTTTTTATGTTTAAAAGGGAATATCTATCCCCTACAGACACTGAAGGTCAAATAGCCAAATTAAGCAGTAACTTTGGGTATGAAATTTCAAACAAATTAAGAAGCTAAATTATGTTTCATAATTTCAGTTCAACATTGAGGTCCAGTCTGCTATACATATTCCAAACCAGACAGCATTGTACTCTGACTTAAGGGTTATTTTTCCTGATCATAGAGATCCTATAATCTACAAATATCTGTAATAGTAAAGAGAGTGTCTGATGAACATTATCAATTGTTTTTCTAAAAAGAAGAAAACAAAACAAACACATAAACAAAAAGAACTATTAGAGGACGAAGACGATTTTCAAAATGTTGTTCTAACAGTACCCTTTTTGTGGTAGAGTAACTCTGTAATAATATACGACTCTCTGTCAAATAATTAAATAATTTCTATCTAAATTTTTATAGACATTGTAATTTCTCCATGACCTACAGTTCCCTCTACTTTAACTTTCTTAACCCACCAGATTTCAAAATATATTAATTATTTTTTTGTTTGCTTTTGAGGAAAAATTTATGAAGAGAAAGTAAAAACATTTGACCCTTGTTATGTCAGCATACAATAACACCAATGCCCGTCCATCAACCTTTATTCTTATTGGCATTCCTGGGTTGGAAGCTGCTCACATCTGGATCTCCATCCCCTTTTGTGTGGTCTACCTGTTGGCCCTACTGGGAAACGGCTCTCTTCTGTTTATCATCAAGACAGAGCCCAGCCTCCATGAGCCAATGTACCTCTTCCTATGCATGCTGGCTGTAGTTGATCTTGTTGTGTGTTCTACAGCTGTGCCCAAACTTCTCAGTCTCTTCTGGTTCCATGATGGAGAGATTCGCTTTGAAACCTGCCTCACTCGTGTTCCTGATTCACTCTTGCTCCACCATGGAATCTGGCTTCTTCCTGGCCATGGCTTTTGACCGATATGTGGCCATTTGCAATCCATTAAGACATTCAGCTATTCTGACACGCGCTGTAATTGGGAGAGTGGGCCTAGCTATTGTTCTCAGGGGCATAGCACTTCTCAGTCCTCACTCTTTCCTACTACACTGGCTTCCCTACTGCAGAACCCATATCATTTCTCACACCTACTGTGAGTTCATGGCCCTCATCAGGATTGCCTGTGCTGAGACAAAATTCCGCAGAGCCTACAGCCTCATTGTTGCCTTCCTTACTGGGGTGGTAGACTTTATATTGATCATTTATTCTTATGTCCTCATACTCCACACTGTCTTCCAGCTCCCATCCAAAGATGCCCGGCTCAAATCTTTGGGCACCTGTGGCTCCCATGTCTGTGTCATCTTAGTATCCTATACTCCAGCCTTCTTCTCGTTTCTCACCCACAGGTTTGGGCACCATGTGGCTCCCCATTTTCACATATTTGTGGCCAACATCTATCTTCTTGTCCCACCCATGGTGAACCCCATTATCTATGGGGTAAGAACCAAAAGGATTTGGGACAGGTTCCTTAAAGTTTTCAGTTTTTCAAAGCCTCTAAGTAAATCATTTTTGTTGGTGAGAAATATCTGAACAAAACATTGTATTATCTTAGAATGTAAGGTCTTTTTATTAAGGCCCTCTTTTAATAATCAGAAAACTAAGATTTTTCTGTAGAAAGTAACTTATTTAAACATAATTATAAGTTTAAACAGATATAAGTTTAGATTTTCTATGCACTTTAGAAATATTTACCAAGTAGTGGTAAATATTTGAATTTGATTACTTGACATTTGAATCTTGTTAGACTGTTTGAAATTAATAATTTGAATAATATGACTGTCAAACAGTGTATTTCAAAGTTTCAACTGTCATAACTATCTGAATCTTGCCATTATAGAAGATATCAATCTGAACATATTTGGAAACCAGATTAATAAAAGAAGAGTAGGGTTTGGGTCATGGGGCAGAGGAAAGGAAAAAAAAAAGAAGAGGAGGCTATGAGAAAATCTGACTTTGAACTGTGTCTTTTTGGGGACTATTTTGACAACACTTTGGAATTTATTCTAAAATGCTGCAATTATTTTTCAGTTTATTCCTACATTGTTTCTCCTTCCCCCCTCTTAAGGAAATCTTACTTTATTATCAACTCTTTCTGATATATGATGACTAAATATGATGATTAAATTTGCTTAACAAAATGTGTGATGATGAATTTTATTCATTTTTCATGTGTCAAAAAAAATCTCTTAATGTTTTCAACGGATAAAAGCCTAGTGTACCTCCCTGAAATCTTAAACATTTAAAACCTTGAGATCATATGTTTTATATATAATAAAAAAATATTCAGTTTGAGTTTATTAGCAACATTTGGCCATTTAAATGATATGACTACATATTTTATAGTCTCATGATATTTTCTTCAGATCTATAAAGATTATTCTATATTCACTATGCTGAGTACAGATATGTTAAAAAATTTTCAAAAGGAAGAAGCATTTTTATATAATGCCTATTATCCTTCCTTATGATGTCCAGAATGGTGTTGCTCATTTCAATCCTGAGAGGCTCTTTAGCTAAGATGTATGAAGGTTATTACAATCATTATCTTGAGACAGATATATTACTAAGTAGAACTCTTTATCAAAGTGTTATTTTCTCAAAATAAACAAACAAACAAAACAAAGCAAAAAGTTCATGGGGAATCATTAGCGGCAAGAAGAAAGAAGAAGAAGAAGGGGAAGGAGAAGGAGAGGGAGAAGAAGAAGAAGAGATGTTTAAAATCGACATGATGTATAATCATAGATCTTTGGTTGGCCATGTATGTCTTATCATAAGACTTACTTTTTTTGTTTGCCACAGTTTATCCTTCTTGGCTGAAGTTCTTTCTTTCTCAGGTACACAATTCAGCACTTTCTTGAGAGTCTTTTGGTGCTAACTTCTCTGTTATATGTTCATCTAAAGTTTTCTTTATTTTACCCTCATTCCTGAATGAAATTTTTCTAGCTACATAATTCTACTTTCCAGTTATTACATTCTTTTAGTCTTTTGAAGTCATTTTCTATAATCTTCTGAAATCTATTTTTGCTTTTAATCAGTGTGTGGTGGGCCAAATTACCATGAATTTGTAGGTAATTATGTGTTCTCTGTGACCATCATTAAATCTTGCTGCTTTTTTTTTGGTATGTGTAGTTTCACGTGGATAAATCTTACAGGCATTAGAGTAAGTGAACAACACAGACAGAAGTCTACATACTGTATGAGAGTTTGTTCATGTGAAACTAGAGAAGGAAGAACTGAAATGGGGGTAGTGTTCTGTCACTTGTGTTTTTAACACTCTCTAGGTAACTTGTATATGCAGCTAAAATTGAGCAAATTAAGGCACAGAAAAGTTATTAATAGTTGACCACTGGAAAAATATTTTAATCAAGTACTTTACCCCTCAAGCTAAAAATTATGAAGAGAATAAATATTATTAAGCGGTCCACAGCTCTTTACTGTACATTCTGTATGCATAATCACTCAACCCTTGCAATATTTGGGGGTTATCATAGAAATCCAGATAATAAATAGCTCAGCACACTCATATTTGATGGGTTACTGAATAGAGAACTTGAGATTTGAAGTCTACCTCTAAAGAAATAACTTTTCTGTAGTCTCACAACTATTTTATATACAGCTGAATGTCATTGAATGGGGCTTTCAGCAACACAGCTTCTCACAGACTCAGCTGTCAAAATTGTTACTACTGCTCATACCATTCTCCATGACCACCTTCACTTTAGTTAGATTCATTTAGTCAGTGTTTAATTACTAACCAGAATTCGCTGGAAATACAATTATACTTAAGGCAACATTTGTAATGATTTGCAGGATCTCAGTGTTGGACACACAAAAATATAGCCTTTCTTTCCCATATGATTTCTGAAGAGATTGAGATAAAATAAAATAATGAAGGATGAATTCTAGATATAATATTTCTTAGTGATTAAAGCTATTGTAAAGGACTTTGTTTGGCTTGAGAGCCAGTGAACACCGTAAGTAACCCCCAGAGTCAGGCATATATTTCTCATCAGAATGGGAAGATTTACCACGTGGCGGAGCATGAGGAAACACATACAACTTATTTAGAAAGACTTACTACCAAAAGAGTGTGTGTGTTTGAGGGGAGGGGTGCTTAATTAAACTTACTCAGTTTATGCTTGCCAAATTTGCAAATCTATTACCTTTCTCATTATTCTTATCGTTCTCCCTAGCACATAGTGAATCAGGATATGGAGAAAGGTTATAACTTGAACATGAAGAGTGGGGAGAAACATGTTGCTCCAGTAGTTTGATAAAGTTGATTCAAATACATAGACATTTCTTTCCAGTATAACATATAACATTTATACGGTGCTGACATTCCGCTAGTTCATTCTGAATTTTTAGATCCCTTAACCTCAGTAATTCCTCCTGCAAACTGACAAGATTTCTAATATTGATATGCTTATTTTACAAATAAGAAAACAGAGACACACAGAAATTATTTGATTTTTCCACAGTCACAGAGATGGTAAAGGTGGAGCCAGGATTTGAACCTAAGGTGTCTGACACTAGATTTATATTCTTACCCACTATACTATATAGAAATAGTAATAGTTTCTGAATACAAGACATCAGGAATATCAGGTAAGTAAAAACAAAGTTTGCTGTGGGTTAGGCCAAGTCAGAGGTGTGTGCATGTGTGTGTGTGTGTTTGTGTAGAGGTATAGAGGTAGTGGTGTTCAGCTTTGGTTTGGCCAATTCTGCATGCAACTACCTCTCTTTCTAAAGATGATCCTGGTATTTCCTTTTGATGGTCAAATGATTATTATTAATCAACTTTCAACTTTCAGGAGTGATTGTTCTCAAATTTAGAATGCTTGAAGCCTCTTAGAGATTGCTTGGGTCTACTGTAAGGCAATCAGATTCAAAATTTCTGTGGTGATTTCCATAACATCTGCTTTTCAACAATCATCATAATATTTATGATTCAGTGGTTCACAGCCCATCCTTGGAGAAACAGAGTTATAGGAAGTTACCAATGGATATAGATGCCCTTCCACTTAAATGCTACAGCATGCTTTAAAATTTCTACCAGGACTTCTTGTTTTTATTTAGCATGTATACATTGGAAGACCATTGCTCTCAAAAGCTTATGGCCAAAAAAAGTGTACAATAAAAAAAAAAACTAGCAATTTTCTTGGACTGATCAACTAGTTAAAATCACAGAGCAACCAACTAATTCTAACATAAAGAAAGATAGACAACTTCAAGAAAAGTTGGAACATGATCCCTAGTTTATTAGGGCCAGATGTCAGATTCTACACAAGCCAGTAAAAAGGATTTACTAAAATTTTAAAGCAAATTCCTCAAAGTGAAGTATAGACTTATGTGAGAATATGAAATGAGGGAATTCATTCCCACTCAGGTTGTCCTCCCTAGACTTCTACCAAGTAATTGTTAGAAAGACTGGAGGCAGGACTGCCTGAAAAAGCGTTCCTAATGGAACAGACCTGGTAGAGGGGAATAGCAGCCACAGAAGGATGGGAATCACACTTCACCCAGTTCCCTGTTTCTCCTCTTCCCTGAGGAGCGAATGCCTTCAGCCACCAGGGGAACAGAACATGTGAAGATCATTGTTCCTTAAAGGAGCAGAAATACATTCTGTAACCACAGCATGAATCAGGATCATCTGAAGTCTCCTGCAGCTTGGGGAGGGGCAGAATCACTCACTGAGAACTTTTCACCTCCAAGGCCCAGGAACATGGTGCTAGCCTAGGATTGAGGCTGAAGCAATACAACAGAATAAATGAATAGGTAAACGATGAGTTCAGTCTCACAGTTGGGGTCCAGGAAAAGTCTATATTTACATAATTAATGTGTAAGTATAATGCCTATAAATACACAGTATAACTGACTTTTTTCGTAGATTTTCTAGTCCAGGGTGTAATGTTAATTAATACATATCCACCCCTAAGAATATTTGACATATTTTCCATTATAATAACAATAAGTAGGATTTTTTTAAAAAGTGCATTCTATAGAATATGTGTCATGGGATGGCCTAAGAAGAGCACTCTGACACCAATCTTGATTCAAAGTTTCAAATGAGTATTTGTAAATTAAAAAGTCTGAGAGGTCCTGCAATAAATACATTGTTAGAAAGTTAGAATTTTCCAAATTTCACGATCACATTTTCTCTTGAATCTGTCTATTCATAATGTCAATAATGTCACATGGACCTGGAGAGCACTGAATTATATCACATGGAACTAAACTTTCATTAAAACAAACAACAATCAACAATAACAACAAAAAACACTTAGGTAATGATAGACTTAGAAGATCACTTGGACTTTTGACATTCCATAAAAGTGAAACTTCTCTAAGGGATGGCACAAAAAAAGACACATAAACAATATTGTTTGGAAAAGAACAGTTCGTTTTCAAAGAACTATCAGTAAGTTAGATTTTATAAAAACTTGTCCACCACATAAAAAATACAACACGACTATTTTTTTTTTCTGTAAAAAAAGGACTACAAATTTACCAAGATTTCTAAGTTTCTGCTATTCTCTTTATGGTGGAAGACCTCAAGCTTTTTACATAGCTATCATATTCATAGTATCAATTTTATGCCTTCCAACGTTATTATGGCAAAGTCAAAAATAACATTATTTTTGATAGTCCAGGTATATGGAAAATCCTCCAATGTTTATTGTATAGAACCAGCACTTACTGGGATGCCTCGATATTTTTGTTTAAACTCAAGATATAAAGGGCTTTATAGTGTTTTTTTGTTGGCTTGTTTCTGGTTTTTTGTTTGAATTTGCTTTAAATTGCCTATGGCTATGCTATGCTCAGTCATAAAGGATGCAGGACAACGTGTTCATATTATTTCATATTAGGAATCTGAATCATGTCCCAACAATGGAATATTAGAAAACATTCTTATCTATCCATTTGACATGGGCTTACCTTTCCATTTCTGGGTAGCACCTGCCAAATGATTGCCATTTTCAGTCCTCCCCTAAGATGGTCCTAAATACTTTCCAAATGTTCTGTTATTATTTTGAACATAGAAAATTCATGCCACTTTCATTGTAAATATGATTATTTATAATATTGATAATCAATCTGATATTTATAAATGAGCTATGTTTTATTTATTGAAAAACATTTTCAGCACTTGTGCTCTAATCTGTTTGGTTCTGACACCATAAATTACAGAGTTGAGAGCAGGTGGAATGACTACATAGAAATTAGCCAGAAGAATGTGGATAAAGTGAGGTATATTCCGACCAAACCTATGGGTCATGAATGAGAAAAATGCAGGCATATAGAAAGTCAACATGACACACACATGAGAGCCACAGGTGCTGAATGCCTTGAGTCGTGCATCATGTGAAGAGAGTAGAAATACAGCACAAAGGATCTGTACATAGGAAATGACAATTGCTATGATGTCAAAGACCAGGATAGAGATGGCACATAAGCCATAGATGATGTTAACCCTGATGCTGGCACAAGACAGGCGGGCAATGCCCATGTGCTCACCGTAAGTATGAGGAATAATTTGGTGTCCACAAAATGGAAGCCTTAGGATAAATAGAACAAAGGGTATGACAAAGACTAAGGGTCTCAGAAAGATGGCCAGTGCCATAACTGACACCACCTTGTTTGTCAGCACCAACGTGTAGCAAAGAGGGTCACAGATGGCCACATAGCAATCATAGGCCATGGCCACAAGCACAGCTGATTCCATGCCAGTGCACAGGTGGATGAAGAACATCTGGGTAAGGCATCCTTCAAAGGAGATTTCTCTCAGGGTAAACCAGAAGGTGCCAAGCATTTTAGGGATGGTGGATGTAGACAGGCCCGGGTCAATAGATGACAGAATGGCCAGGAAGTAGAACATGGGATGATGGAGACTACTGTCAGTCTGAATCACAAAAAGGATGGTGATATTCCCAAGGACAGCTGTCAGGAACACAGCAAAGAAAGGAAAACCAACCCAGAGATGCATACTTTCCAGCCCAGGAATTCCCAGAAGAAGGAAAGAGTAAGGATGAAATAGAGTGGTATTCATTGAGGCTGTTCTTCTGGGAACTTTTTATGCTAAGATATATTATAAACTAAATGTCTCTCGTTCACTGAGTGGGCCTTATCCTTGCTTAGTGCACACAGAAAACAAAGAAATCAGTGAAACTAATATCTGCTATATTTCTGCATCATAGAGGCTTGAAAGTACGTACAATTTAATGGTAACATGTGGCCAAAGATTTAAATGTACTTCATTAGATTCATTCAAGTAAATTCAATATTTTAGTTCAACAAACATTAATTATCTACCACGTAAGTACCAGATTATATGCTGTGACTGATTGCAAAAGATGAACTAAAGGTTTATTTTCTGATGCAACATAGTGGTTTAAAGTTAGTGTTAGTAGTTGTAACAGTTACCCAAATCAGCAATGTAAACTTATAAAATATTGGTGAGATAAAATTGTTCCCTTACTACTTTAGATGCACATAAGATTCTCCTGAAAATATTTTAACATTGTTTAATGGAGAAACTGCTTAATTCATAGATACATACATTATGGACAAATAAGTAGACACATGATTTAAATATGACCAGACCCATTATAGTTCACATTTATGAGCTGAGAATATGTAATCCACTCTTCGAAGAAACCACAAATGTATACAACTGGAACAGTCTAAGATAATTTTGGATGTGTGCAGGTGTTTTATCGTTTAAGTCTGCAAGTCCATTTCTCATTCCAAGTCATCTTCCAATCTCTCCTTTCTTGTGGGTGCCAATATTAGAGAGGAACCCTGCCTTGAGGTCTTATTAATGAAACCTCTTACTCTGGATAACCCTCTCAAGATAATCTTCTTACTCTGGGTCTACTTACAATGGAATGCACATATCCCTCTTCATTTCAGATCTGTTGATTAACCTTGCTATTTCTAATTGTCTTTCTGCTGATAACTGTCAAGAAAGAAACAGATTTACGAACATGTACACACACAAACATTAGTGTTCAAGTTTATGAAACATCACAAAGTTGTCAGGCAAAGTAAGTTAATTTGTACACACCACTTCCTGATAGTGAGTCTAGCATTTGTCTTGCTATATTGTGTTGCTATGATGTATCTTATCTTTATAAAACTGTGGTCAAGCACACTGTGATTAAAAACTCTTTCACACACTAGTGTGTGTGTGTGTGTGTGTGTGTGTGTGTGTGTATGTCTTGGAAGGGTGCACTGCAGCTTGGGTGTTGGGCAAATTTCTTAAGAAATCTTAGAAAGTAGAAATTGATCAGGTATAGGGAGAAGAAAAGGAAATTGAGTTAAGATAATTATTCCAAAACAAGCAAATTGGGAAACAGAAGAGGAGTAACTCAGAAAAAAATAACTATTTGGAAAACTATCCTAATTTCATCAGTGGTGACTATATGCAAGATGTGGTGTTGGAATTGAGGAGACTGGTGAAAGAGATGTGACAGAATCCTATATTCAGATTTCTTCTTTGTGAGTTTGGTTTAGCTAACTTAACAGGGCCTAGTATATGAAAATGGAATAATGTTTAGAAACCAACACTAGGAATTGAGTCTATGTTTTGTTTCTCATTTCCATGTAATATTGAACACATTATTTTTCTTCTTTAAGTCTAAGACTCCATACCTATGAAATGAGAGTAAAATGCCTGCATTGCAAGAGCTTTGCAAGGTATGTCTGACTCGAGATGTCTCATCAAAAAAGTGTATTACAGTGACTGGTTATCCTATTGATGAGAACATGACAAAGTAAAAAGCTATAGTGAACTTGCTTATACAGTTTGTCAGGCAATCCTTTACATAATTTAGCAGACATTCAATCCTGATACTTTATCTGCATATAAATATTTTGGTAGCATTTTTAATGTTTATAATCCAGTACAAATGATTATTCTTATCATTTGACATTTGTACATAAATTGTATCACACATTTGGAAACTGCACCATTGAAAAATGATTGGGACTACTTTCTGTCAGAGAAAAGTAGCATGTAATTTGGTTGTGTTATACTGGAGAGGGATAATTTCTGAATGGTTTAAGGTAACTTCAATTATGGTTTTTTCTCCGTGTCAAACATGGGCCTGGGTTGGGACCATTTATCTAATCTTTAGATTAAGTTAGAAGGACTAAAGGAGAGGGAACAGTGAGAAATACACAGAAAACATGAAGGGAAAGAAATTTGATAGATCACTACCTGGCTGTGAAGAGCTCTAGTGCACAGAATGGCAAAAGTATCAAAAGATGTCAGAGCTTCACACAAAGATTGTGTAAGATGTATAAGAAACAATTGAAGGTAGTAGTTGCTCAAGTGTATATGAAATTATGCCAATAAATTCTTACAGTAAGCTCTCTTATCCACTTCCCTCAATAAGAAGGTTTTCTTTTCTTTCCCCTATTTTATCATCTTCTGCTCTTTTCATTGTTCTCAGCCACAGATCAGAATCCATAATTCCAAAATGTTACCTACCAGCAGAAACACCTGCAGAAGTAAGCAAATCTCCCTTCACATTCTTCTGAATTCCATTTGCTTATGAGGGTGGGTTTTGTACCGTGGTCACAACATCCAGAGGGAGATCTTTGCAACACCTTATATTGGAACACCCTGGAGATAATGGGACCTGCAAAGCTCTGAGCTTAGTATTAACCCTTTCCTGTGAAATTGAGTGTTATTGTACATAGACAACCCATGTCCTGGTTCTGAGACCAGATTCTGAAATATAGGATTATCTGATTTCCAATGGTAAAATTAATATTTTTAAAAAATATGATATTATTTTTTAAAAAGTCTTATAAAATCCTTAAGCATTTTTTAACAATATTGCTGGTATCAGTTCTGCGTTCTTTGTCCTGAACACCTCAAGGAGGGTGGGGCTAGTCCATGCACCACAATAGGTAGACTAATGACCAAATTAAATTCTCTAAGACAAAGGTGGCAGTAGTGGCCGGCAGCCAATGGCTGTGCAGGAAATGCGACCCACGGAGTTAAACCCAAGAAAGGAGCCATCAAGGAGGATCAGACCGGGAAGTCGGGCACAGCCATTAGAGGGACTGCCACACGCCACTTGTGCAGACTTATTGGCAGATGGGAAAAGATGTCCAAGGTTGGCCCCGCGTGGTAGCTCACACCTGTAACCTTTAGGGGAGAATCCACCTTCTTAACTTTTCCATCTTTTGGATGCTGCCAACATGTTTTGGTCCACGGCCTCCTGCTATCTTCAAGGCCTGCAATGGCCTATGCAGTCTATCTCACATCACATCCCTCTGACAATGACTTTTCTGCTGCCTCCTACTTCCACTTTGTAAGGATGTTTGTAATTACATTGAACATGCCTACATAATCTAGAATAACTTCCCTATCTTAAGGTCAGATGATCATCAGCCGTAATTCCCTCTGCAACTTAAATTCCCCTTTATCTTTGAGGTCCATTATCTTACCTGCCACATAGGTTGCTTTATTTTTTTAATTTGTTTGTTTATGCTGTACCTCACATATAGTGTCTACAGTGTTTTTTTCCTTCTCCTCTTTTTTACATGTATATAAAACTGACTTACTCATTTATATTAGAAATTCATTATCAGCAATCCTTCTCTTGATATACTATGTATTTATCCTGAGAAGATTTGTATTAATATTTGTGTTGGTATTTATTGGTTTCTTCTAAGTTTTCTGGGAACTTTCCAAAATATAACAATTTAAAAATAATTTTCATCTTGGGGTTTTTCTGGGCTATATATAAAGTACAAGGTAAGAAATATAGCTAGGAATCTTGATGGCCCGCATTGAAAGCTTTGCTATTTAAGATCTACACAACTTTGGGCATTAATTAGGTTTTCAATTTTACAGTTCCTTCACAGAATAGAAGTAAAGACTCTTGATTTCTTAATTCAAGTTTTTTTTTCACATACAGAGTTTCCATTTGAATCTTTAAAAGAGTTCTAGTTTTTTAAAGAACACTTCAAATTTTATTTAATTTTCTTAAGTATATTTAATTACAGTTATTATAAGACCTATTTGAAAATAGTATTATTTGATCTCCTATGTTTATTCCTATTTTAAAAAAAACTGGTGTTATGACACATTTGTTTGATTCTTTCTCTGCATGGTTATGCTGATGCAAGATACTTTGTGGAAAATAAATTAGAAATATTAATAATTTGAGTCCAAGGATAATTTATACAATACTATTCTGACTTAGAAGATTTAGCTTTAGATTTGCTTCTGGCAGGTGGCCATGGTCACTAACAATCTCAGATCTTAAAGCAGCATTTGAGATCGTTTGAACCTATGTCAGTCTCTCTGTGAATGCATCTATTTCTGGCTCACTCTTAACACTTAGGGAAGTTCCCTAGGAGATTACCAAATGTCTGAGTAGTTTCTAGAATCTGCCCACTTCTAGTAACCATTTTAGTGCCATATTCTTTTTATTCAATTCTACAATTTTAATATTCACATAGTGCCTTTAGGCTGTTGAAAATTTACATAGTTGGAGCTTACCCACTCCCCATTGTGTATCTAAGCTCATCCAGCCAGCAGAGATAGGATCAGATTTTCCTTGATTTTCTCCCACTTGAACCTCCCTTAGGAATTCTCAGTTTGTATGGAAATTCCCTGTACCTCTACCTGAGCAACTGACATCCCTTAGACCCACAGGTCTCTACTCCCCATATAGCATGAGTAGCTACAGTTCCCCCAGGCTTCCAGAACTCCAGGACAAATGAGAGGCTTCCTTTATCATTGGTATATAAGCTGGTAACCTTCTAGACTCCTTAGGCAGAACGAAGCCCAACTTGAGCATTCTAACCAGGAGTAAGAGTACAAAGCAATAAGCTAATGAAGGGATGGGTAAACAGAAGTAGCATACACATTTTATAAGTCTGATGGAGGGAGGAGGGCAGAGCTAGGAGGGAAAACAATTGCCATTTGTGAAGAGAAACAAGGAAAGAAAAGGTTGGCTAAAGGAAAGAGAGATTGGCTTTAGGAAGTTAGAGATAGGGGATATGGGTGAGGAGAAAATGGAGAAAATTTTGTAGGAGAAAATAAAGTGTTAGTGATACAGTAATATAAAGGAAAATGTGGTGGGCTATCTTAGATAACTGGATAGAAAATGTTTAAATAGAGTGGTGAAAAAAAAAAAGAGGTTTGAACTGTTAAACCAATAGAAAGAGTGAAAAAAATGCCTGTAGTTTGGTGAACAAGAGTGGCAGTGCTGTTTGATGTCAGAAAGAGTGAAGCTGTCTGGGAAGCAAGCTAAGGAATTTGAGCAAAAGAGCACAATGATGAGAAGGAAGATGTGTGGGGGCAAAACCAGATGTATACTTCTACTTCTCTTTTCCATACATAAGGAAAAATGATCCCATTATGTAACAGTCTCACAAGTGATATCATAGCAATGTTTTTCCTTTTACTCTGAGAGCGGTAGAAACAAATTATCTTGTTAGCAGAGGAATGACTTGACTTGCCAATGTTTCATTGTTGTTGCTTTGTTTTTCAAGAATTTACTACCTGCTATAAAAACATAGATTTAGGAAGAATGGCCCAAGAGTGGAAAGAAAGAGATAAAAGGCTAACGAAGTATCGCAGAAAATAAATAGTGATGACAGTGCTAAAGATCAGAAGTAAATAAATTAAAGCACATTAGACATAAAAACAAGGGGACTTATTGAAGAACTTGACAGAGGTAAAAGGGTTTTAATAATGGAGAACAAAGCCTAGTTTTCAGATTTGAATAACCATGCAGTAAGATTTACATTTACTGAGAAGGAAATGTTAAGGATATTATTAAGGAAAATTCTTTATTGATTGTGTGATGTTTGCTGTGCCTCTTAGATGTTCTAATATCCAGTACGTTGTCAAATATACTACTTGGGAGATCATTAGAGGAGTCAAGTATGAAGATGTACAGTGGAGTTATCAATGCATAGACAGATTTGAATGCTGCATTGCTGAATTAAAAAATCTTAGAGAAAGAATGTAGTTATATAAGAGATATAAAACCAGATCTAAAATTTAAGGTATCCATGGCAACATTTAGAAATCTGACAGTGAAGGAATATTCAACAAAGATTTTAAAAAGATTAGCAATATAAAAGGAAACACGAGTATGTTAGTTATATACATAGAGATTTTTATGTTATACATATAGTATGTTATATATAAACATACTCAGTATATATCGATGTAATATATATGTATGAGTATGTTTATATATGTACATATAGTATATTTGAACCTTTTATTTTAAGTTCAGGGTACATGTGCAGGTTTGTCATTCATTTCTTACTGTAAGAAGTTCCACTTGTGTCTAACTAAATTGTCAAAAATATATAACAAATAAGTATATGTACTTCAAAATATATATACACACATACATATATACACACATATATATATATACACACACACAAACACAAACACCTATACATATTTATGCATGTGTGTATGGGTGTGTGTGTATATATATAGCTTGCTATTTAAACATGTATATATATATATATAAACTAGTATATATACACTAGTGTGTATATATAAACTAGTATATATACATATGTATACACACACACAATCTTAAACAAACTATATAAATATATATACTTTGTTTCAAAGAATGGAATGATCCAGGGTCACATGCTGCTGGGAGTTGTAGTAGGATGAGACGGGGATATTTGTTTGGGTTTGGTGTCCAGAGATCAATAATTAACTTAACTAGAACTGTTTTAGTTTCAGCCAAGTGTTGGATAGGATGCTAAAATAAAGAGAGTATGGGTGAGGTGAGGACAGATTATACACACTGTTTGGCTCTTACAGCCCCTTTTCACATATTTTTTGATAATTTCAATTGATTCATCTCCCTTGAGGGGTGATACAGTTTATCTGTTTTCAGTCTTTGTTACCAGAAATATATAGATATTCCTAGTTTTAGTTCTAAGCTTATTTTTAACTTTTATTTTAGGTTCAGGGGTACATTTGCAGGTTTGTTATCCGTTTCTGACCGTAAGAAGTTGCGCTTGTGTCTGATCAAATTGTAAACACAAAGAAAATTTTGTCACCATCAAAATAAAAGTAATTTATAACACAAAAGGCAACCCTTACTTGATTATCAGCAGATCAGCAGAATTGATTATCAGCAGATTTCTCAGCAGAAACCTTGTAAGCCAGGAAAGGATGGGATGATATATTCAAAGTGCTGGGGGAAAAAATGCCAAATGAGATTACTAGATTCACTCAACCCAGCCTGTCCTTTACAAATGAAAGACTTTACCCAACAAACAACACTGAGGGAATTTGTCACCACTAGACCTGTCTTACAAGAGGTGCTAACGGGAATTCATTCTGAAATGAAAGGATGCTAACTAGTACATATGAAAGTATACATCTCACTGGTAAAGGTAAATATATATACAAATGCCAAATAATGTAATACTAAATGGTGGTGAATTAATAACTTTTAACACTAGTATAAAAGTAAAAGGAAAAAAGTATTAAGAATAACTACAACTGCAAAAAGTTGTTAATTGATGCAAATATAAAAATAAAGTCTGACAGCAATAACATAAAATGTGTGCACAGGTGAGTAAGTATAGAGTTCTTGTAAATTAGTATAAGATTGAAGCTTAAGGTGTTAGCTTGAAATGGAGTTATAAAATATAAGAGGTAAAATAATGAGTAAATCTGTGTTTGATTTCTTTGTTTTTCCTTTCAAAAACAATTTCTGTCTGATGATCTCTTTAATTATTCCCAATTCACATTGATTGAGGTATGGCTGTTTCAAATACTACTTTGATGTTCCAAACAAAGTAATTCAGAAGGAGCTATGTAATTCTGCACAGGTTAAAGAAGTCATATATATGTAACTTATTCAGCAGTTATTCTCAGGAAAAAAAACTCTCTTAAAAGAGGAGTTATTTTATTTCACTAACAAATTAGCTTAGTGATTTTACAGTTGTGTTTTCATTCAGAATAGATTTTAACACATAAAGAATGTTTGATGTGACATGATAGACAGGATTGGTGGCACTTATTTATCACCAAAATATTGTTGTGCCAGATATTTCTATTTTTGTATCTTCTGAAAACCATTAGTTATATTTTATGGAGTTCTGTGTATTCAAAAACATGATGCCTGTAATTTTGTTCATTTACATATTTCTCAAGAAGATGGCTATTTTATGTACACAGACAATTTTTTTCTTGTAGTCATTTATTCTTTATTTTACCTGTTAAACATCCCACATTTTATAAAATGGGGTATAGACTTACATAGCATATCATTTACATACTTATCACTATCATTAATTTGGGTAGTAATCCCAATAATTTACATGGCATTTCTTTCAAACTGCCAGGGTTTGTTAACCTCTCTAATCTTGAGTAAGGCATTTTTCTATGGAACAGTAAAAGCTTTCCATGGTCAGAAATGCTCTGAAAATACTCCCCCATCAAATATTACAAGCAAGGTGCATGAAGACAGATTAGATGAATTTAGGTAACTTTGAAATGATTGAGACTGGGTGCAGTGGCTCACTCCTGTAATCCCGGCATTTTGGGAGGCAGAGGTGGTCAGATCACTTGAGGCCAGGAGTTCAAGACCAGCCTGGACAACATGGAGAAACCCCGTCTCTACTAAAGATATAAAAAATTAGCCAGGTATGATGGCCCGTGCATGTAATCTCAGTTTCTCTGGAGGCTGAGGCAGGAGAATCCCTTGAACCTGGGAGGCAGAGGTTGCAGTGAGCTGAGATTGTGCCACTGCACTCCAATCAGGGTGACAAAGTGTGACTCTGTCTCAAATAATAAAATATAAATAAATAAATAACATGATTGCATTATCATAAATCTAATATTATAAGGCTCCTGTTTTTTCTCACTAGTTTTTAATTAAACATTTGACATATATCTTAAATTCCTGAAGTCATGATTGCCTCAGCTTTGAGCTAGAGATACTAACGTGTTATTCAGATGGATGTTGTGAGTTTTGAAAAAAATATGTATTTGTCTAACCTGTGTGTAATATTATGCATGTGTGTGTGTATTTTATCCGGTGTGAATAACACAGATAAGTCATACATTACACTTTTGTTTCCTTCTATTTTCCTTCTATGTAAATTCACTACTTTTATCCCTAGCTTAATTTCCCAGATCATCCATTAGAAGCATTTTAAACATCTGACAAGCCTCTTAAACTCATTGATCGCTTACATGGAAAATATGAAAAATTAATATTCTCCTTGAAGGGTGTTCTTTTTATAAATTGGAGATGATTTGCACATAACAAAGCTTTGCAAATAGTAGGCAGTACTTCAATAATTGGTAGTTGATGCGACTGTTTTCACTGTTATTCTGTATTTTATTTTACAGTAATAATGAGTAAATATTTTTAAATGGACAGTTTTAAACCTTTAAGTGATTTTTAGTATATTTTGGCATAAATTTTGATCAGTCTGTGTGTTTATTGAATAGAGTGTACCCACCCTCTGTGTTAATCCATATGTGTTATCATTCAATCAACTGGAATTAATTTCCACCACTACATTTAAGGGCTAGGAAAACCCTACCTTGTTCAAAATTCAAAGGGGTTCTTTGGTGATGATGGTAATAATGAGAGAGAATAGCTAAAGTAAAAAGTATTCAGGCAAATCTTAGCATAATATTGGCAGTGAGGTTATATTGATAGGGTTTAGGTAGAGTAGAATGCTAGCAAAGTTGAAAGTATCACGTAGAACATTTTATTTTAATTTACTGTATAAATTCATCTAAGAATTTATCCCTGAGATGTTTGTTACTTACCTAAAGTGCTCTGTATACAGTATGTTTCAAAGTGATAGAATTTCCTGCAAAAAATCATGTGCACAAATGTATGTTTCTTATATTAAATTTTTGTCTCCGAACTGCAGAAGCCTGTGTGGTTACATGCAGATTGGGTGAGCATACATTTCTGTAGACTGTGGACTTATGCATTCACAAGCAGGATGTTCCTTCCCAATGACACCCAGTTTCACCCCTCCTCCTTCCTGTTGCTGGGGATCCCAGGACTAGAAACACTTCACATCTGGATCGGCTTTCCCTTCTGTGCTGTGTACATGATCGCACTCATAGGGAACTTCACTATTCTACTTGTGATCAAGACTGACAGCAGCCTACACCAGCCCATGTTCTACTTCCTGGCCATGTTGGCCACCACTGATGTGGGTCTCTCAACAGCTACCATCCCTAAGATGCTTGGAATCTTCTGGATCAACCTCAGAGGGATCATCTTTGAAGCCTGCCTCACCCAGATGTTTTTTATCCACAACTTCACACTTATGGAGTCAGCAGTCCTTGTGGCAATGGCTTATGACAGCTATGTGGCCATCTGCAATCCACTCCAATATAGCGCCATCCTCACCAACAAGGTTGTTTCTGTGATTGGTCTTGGTGTGTTTGTGAGGGCTTTAATTTTCGTCATTCCCTCTATACTTCTTATATTGCGGTTGCCCTTCTGTGGGAATCATGTAATTCCCCACACCTACTGTGAGCACATGGGTCTTGCTCATCTATCTTGTGCCAGCATCAAAATCAATATTATTTATGGTTTATGTGCCATTTGTAATCTAGTGTTTGACATCACAGTCATTGCCCTTTCTTATGTGCATATTCTTTGTGCTGTTTTCCGTCTTCCTACTCATGAAGCCCGACTCAAGTCCCTCAGCACATGTGGTTCACATGTGTGTGTAATCCTTGCCTTCTATACACCAGCCCTCTTTTCCTTTATGACTCATCGCTTTGGCCGAAATGTGCCCCGCTATATCCATATACTCCTAGCCAATCTCTATGTTGTGGTGCCACCAATGCTCAATCCTGTCATATATGGAGTCAGAACCAAGCAGATCTATAAATGTGTGAAGAAAATATTATTGCAGGAACAAGGAATGGAAAAGGAAGAGTACCTAATACATACGAGGTTCTGAATGCAATTTTATGAAATTTCAGTGAGAGAAATGTCTTGTCATAAAAATTATATTCTAATATGTGGCTTTATTGGCTCTCTTCTGTATTTAAATACATTGAATTTCTCCATCTGCTTTTCATACCACATTTTGAGATCTGTTGCTGCATTTTTTTTTTTTTTTTTTGAGACAGAGTCTTGCTCTGTTGCCCAGGCTGGAGAGCAGTGGCATGATCTCAGCTCACTGTAACCTCTGTCCCTGGGGTTCAAGTGATTCTCCTGCCTCAGCCTGCCAAGTAGCTGAGACTATGGGCATGCACCACCATGGCCTGGCTAATTTTTGTTTTTTAGTAGAGATGGGGTTTTACCATATTGCTGCATTCTTGTTCTCTCTATTCAATACTCTTATAATTTCATTTAAGCAGGTAATGTTATTTTTCTCTATTATTTGGAATAGCTGGTTGAAGTGTTTATATCAGATATGAATGCACCCATTTTTGCTGGGTAATTGATGTTTCATGGAGCTGCTTCTTACAATACAATTATAATAATTTTCTGAGTGTCAACTTTTATAACTGTAGGATGCTGGAGATAAAATTTTGACTATGTCACCTTCCCTTACTTTGTGGAATTTATAGAGTCTAAAATTAATGAGCAACTTCAACTTTGAAATGTCCATACTTTTTGTTTTAATTGTTCTATATCATTATAATTTATGTTTATCTTCCCTTAAGAGACACAGCGATTTAATGGTAATGGGGTATCCTAAATGGGATGCTGGATTAGAAAAAGGACATTGGCTAAAAAGTAAGAAAATCTTAATAAAGTATGAGCTTTAGCAATAAATATGTATCAATTACCTGCTTCATTAATTTTGGAAAATAGACTACACTAATATAAGATGTTTACAATAAGGGGAATTAAATGTGGGATATATGGGAACTATCTGCAATATCCTCACGAATTACTGTTATATCTAAAATTATTCTAAAACAAAAGAGGTATTTTTCAAAATCACAATGAATAAATAGGTCCTTTGGGGAAGAACCTATTTTTAAAAAGTCTTGAGTCTCCCTGTCAATGAACTTAGTATACAAATGCATTGATTTTAATTCATACTTAATATAATTTAATAAGGTTTTATACTTTACTAAAAAATAAAAGTCCAACCATTAGCAAAACTTTCTTCTATTATGGAAACCATCTTGGGGCGGAAAAACACCAAGATTTTAGAGTAAGAATAATAAGCTGAGAAAAAATTAGCTCTAAATTTATCTCTCATTCTTCATTTCACCGTAATTCCCCCAAATATTTTTTATATCTTTGTTGAGAGAAAAATTGAAATTATATGTCCTAGTAGAATTTTTAAAATTAGAATTTAATTTCACACAACTGGATTAATTTTATTATTCGAAATAGTTGTTTCATAATGCATTTTGTTTATTTCATTCTAAACCATCTTTGACTGTATTCGTATATCTGCTTGTCTATGTTTTGTATGTCCCTTTCCAATGACACTCAATTCCTCCCATCCTGATCACTCATTACACTTTTTGTCAGCCTGTTTCCACTTCTTTTCCCTGAAACTGAAATTATAAACCAGGAGCATAATTCCTTAATGCTTTCCCCACATGTACTAACAGCAATTGATGCCTGCTGGTGAATTAATAGTTCAACCGGAAACATACATATCACAATAGCACACACACACGAACACGCATGCAAGTTACTGTTTCTTCTTCATGATTATATTTAATATGGCTAAATGAGCTCTAGAGATTATTAGCTACCACATATGAAAGGACAAATGTTTAAACTCACTATGTCTGAACAACAATCCTCCCAGGTTTTGATATACTGATCTCCAAAGCGGGCTGCATACAAACTCAGTCGATACACAGGATGTTAATATTTTATTTTCTTCATGTATGTATTTAAGTGACCAGTAACTCAAAAATATGCATCAATTAACCAAAGTATTAATGAGGAGACCAAATAGAGAAAACACAAAAGACATTAGACCATAAAGAGCATTCTATGTCTTATAATGAGCAAACCTTTTAAAACTAGTAAAACGTACAAATTTAAGGGAGTCTTTATAGCATTCTTGCCATTTTAGTGAAAAACCAAGTAAAGTAAATACCTCTCTTCCAATATTTGGTGGTTTGCAATTTGCTTCTGTTTAATGCTAAATATGTGTGACAGAATACATGAGAATGAATAAATGTTGACCTGGAATTGAAAGTCATAAAAACCCAGCCCAAGAGGGGAAAAATAAGTGCTCATGTCAACAGAGAAGTTTTGTTTAGATGCTGAAGTGTGAAGGCATGAGGTGTGTTCTGAGAAATATTTTCATCCAGAAAGCGAGAGAGAAAAAGATACTAGAAAATAGGATAGTGAGTAAAGTTAAGAATAATTATAGTGGAGGCTCTTCACTGTAAAACATTATTGAGTGTGTCAAATGGCTTAGAAATATCTGCTTCCTGCCAAGAACATGAAACAGTAAGAGGGGAAGGCTAGATTAATCAAAGGGGTACTCACTGCTGTGCAACACAAAGTTGCAGAAGTGACAACCAAATGTTTTATCTCGTCAAATAAATCTTTGGTTTAATCTAAAACAGTCTCTTTATAACTTGATGGATGTTTGGACAGGTGTTATAAGATATCGTGAACAGTAAGATATTGATGTTTTTATTTACATATGTGAAAAGTTGTGATGACAGTTTGTTTAAATTTTGCAAATGGTACAACTAATACAAGTTGTTGTTACATAAATGATTGTTAATGTTTTTGATTTCTGGCTTTTCCATAAATTAGCTTAAACTCTGGAGAATAACAAATGACTGTGCAAAAAAAAAATTTTCCATTGCTTACGTATATGTTCTAGAGTATTGAGAGGTTCAATGTGGTGTACTGAATGCATTTTAAGCCTGAAATCCTTTGATGAGTGTATACATTTAACCTTCTGAAGTTCAGCCAATCATGAGTCTTGGTCCACTTAAAAAAAATGTTATCCTTAAGCACGCTTATTTAATAATTAAACTTCTTAATAAAAATTTTTAAAAAGTCAGTGAAATCTATAAATTTAGCAACCTAAATAAGAAAAAAATAAATATATTGGTCAATGAATTTATGAAAAATATTTTTACAAAATTCAACACCCACACATGATAAAAACTCCCATAAAATTTCAATAGAGGGGAACTTCTTCAGCTTGAAAAAGAACAATGACGAACATAATCTACATCAAACATTATGCTTTATAGTGAAAGATAATGTATTCCCTCTAAGAAAGGCAAGGAAATGCATTCTCACCAATATTATCCATTATAGTGCTAGAAATTCTAGCCAGGGCAGTTAGTTAATAAAAAATAAACACACTGTCTTCCACAATGGTTGAACTAATTTCCACTCCCACCAACATTGTAAAAGCTTTCCTATTTCTCCACAACCTCGCCAGAATCTGTTGTTTCCTGACATTTTAATGATCACCATTCTAACTGTCGTGAGATGATATCTCATTGGGATTTTGATTTACATTTCTCTAGTGACCAGAAACAGCATTTGACCCAGCAATCCCATTACTGGGTATATATCCAAAGGATTATAAGTCATTCTGCTATAAAGACACATGCACATGTATGTTTATTGCAGCACTATTCACAATAGCAAAGACTTGGTTCCAACCCAAATGCCCATCAATGATAGACTGGATAAAGAAAATGTGGCACATATACACCATGGAATACTATGCAGCCATAAAAAAGAATGAGTTCATGTCCTTTGCAGGGACATGAATGAAGCTGGAAACCATCATTCTCAGCAAACTAACACAGGAACAGAAAACCAAACACCACATATTCTCACTCATAAGTGGGAGGTGAACAATGAGAACACATGGATACAGGGAGGGGAACATCACACACCAGGGCCTGTTGGGGGGTTGGGGGAAAGGGGAGGGAGAGCATTAGGACAAGTACCTAATGCATGGGGAGCTTAAAACCTAGATGACAGGTTAATGGGTGCAGCCAACCACCACGGCACATGTATACCTAGGTAACAAACTTGCACATTCTGCACATGTATCCCAGAACTTAAATTTTTTTAAAAAATTAAGAAAAGGATAATAAACAAAAAAATAAAACTCTTCCTATTTCTAGATGACAAGATTGTTCATGTAAAAAATATAAAAGATTAAAAAATTATCAAAACTATTAAATGAGTTCACCAAGACCTCAGGAGATAGAAATCAACATTCAACAAATAATTCTATTTCTATATACTAGTGATGAACTTCAAGCTTTAAAAATACAAAACCAGGGCCGGGCGCGGTGGCTCACGCCTGTAATCCTAGCACTTTGGGAGGCCGAGGCGGGTGGATCACGAGGTCAGTAGATCGAGACCATCCTGGCTAACACCGTGAAATCCCTTCTCTACTAAAAATACAAAAAATTAGCCGGGCACGGTGGCAGGTTCCTGTAGTCCCAGCTACTAGGGAGGCTGAGGCAGGAGAATGGCGTGAACCTGGGAGGTGGAGCTTGCAGTGAGCTGAGATTGCGCCACTGTACTCCAGCCTGGGTGACAGAGTGAGACTCCGTCTCAAAAAAACAAACAAACAAACAAACAAAAAACCAGGCCAGGTGGTGCAGTGGCTCACACCTGTAATCCCAGCACTTTGGGAGGTCAAGGAAGGCAGATCCCTTGAGCTCAGGAGTTGGAGACTAGCAACATGGTGAAAGTAATCATACACACAATTATTTTTTTCATAGTATTTGTTAGATAATCACAACACAATTAATAAAATTAAACAGATGGTAGCTATAATTGCAGCTGCTTTGCCAGACTAGGTCCCTCTATTCAAGAAGATAGAGACTCTAGAACTTCATGTGCAGTGATGAAATGATTGAACTTAAAACTAATTACTTTCTTATTTTGAATGTAGCTGAAATGGAGTTCCGTATACATACTATAAAGGGCGAGATTAATTATTGTGGAGTTTTCAAGGTCATATGGTTTCTATTGCAATTCTATGGCCATATGGTTTTATTTAACTCTATCACTGAAATGCAAAGAGAGGCATATATAATGTAAAAGTAAGTGAGCATATCTCTGTTTCAATAAAACTACTCACAAAAGGAGGTGGTGGTCTATAGTTTGCCAATGCTGCTCTTAAAGATAAGTGGCTGTAGAAATAAAAAAAAATGTTATCAGTATAAAATGACTTTATAATATTTTATATTACAATCATGTGTGCTCAACAATGGGGATACAGCCTCAGAAGTGCATCATTAGGCAACTTCATTGTTGTGTGAACGTTATAGAGTGTACTTACACAAAACTAGATGGTATAGCCTACTACAGACTTAAGATATGTGGGAAAGCCTATTGCTCTTAGGCCACAAACTTGTACAGCATGTACAGTACTGACTACTGTAGGCAATTGTAAGACTGTGGTAAGTATTTGTGTCTCTGAATATGTCTAAACATTTAAAAAAGTACAGCAAAAATACAATATAAAAGATAAAAAGGTGGTACACCCTTATAGGACACTTCCACAAATGGAACTTGAAGGACTGGAAATTGCTCTGAGTGAGTCAGTGGGTGAAAGAATGTGAAGTGTTGAGTAAATGTGAGGGCCTAGGACATAACTGTATACTACTGTAGACTTGATAAACATTGTATATTTAGGCTATGTTAAATTTATAAAAAATAATATTTTTCTTCAATAATAAATTAACCTTAGCATGCTGGATGTCCACCATTTTATATGAGATTTGTACTTGACTGAAATGTCATTTTGCAGTGCATGCCTGTATATCGTTTATATAATATTCTATATGATGTAAAACTTAATAGTAAAATTATATGATGTGTATAAAATGGCAACACTAAAAATGAAAAGGAAGAGTTAGGAATATAGTATGGTAAGGTTCTTACACTGTGCATGAGGCAGTATAGTATTTGAAAATAGACTATACTTAATTAAAGTTACATGTTGCAAATATTAAGAAAAAACTATATTAATAATGATTCAGTATTGGAGATAACCGATTCAGTTAAAAATGTTGAGTAAAACCAAGACACAGTGGAAAATGAGGGGAAAAGAAACAAAAAACAGATCCAATAAGTAAGAAAATGCTAGAAAACTGGTAGATTTTAATCTAAACATATCAATAATCACATTAAAAATGAACAGCCTAAATACATGAACTAACAGTTAGAGATTATTATATTGGAGAAAAAGCAAGGCCCGCTTATATGTTTTCTATATTTAAAATGAAGACCTAGGTATCATAAATGTAGAAAAATGGAAAAAGATTTACCATAAAAAATTAACAAAGAAAAGCTAAAGAGTATATGCTGATATGAGACAAAATACGTTTCAGAACAAAACTAGTTTAAAGGGCATTGTGTAACAACAGTAGTTCAAAATATATTTTTCAAAAACTAGTAGACTTTAAAGAGATATGAAGACATCTACAAATATAAGCAATTTAACACTTCACTCTCAGTAACTGATTGAGCAAGTTGGTAGAATATCTGTAGGGAAAGAGAAGAAATAAATGACACCCATCAATCAACCTGAGCAAATTGACATTTGTAGACACTGTACCCAAACACAGAGGGGTACACATTTTACCTATTTTCCTAATAAGCTTTTTTTTAAAAAAAAATAAAAGATAAGGTACTTTTCATTTTGCATGCAGCTGTGAGAAATACAGAGTGACCGTATGTAGCCTTTTCCTAGTTTTCTCCCAACTGATATCTCGCAAAGCAACATCACAGCCATGATACCAACATTGGGACATTGAAGATACAGAAGATTTACATCACCACAAGGATGTCTTAAGTTGTTTTTTACAGGCACAGTCACGTCCTTACCATGCCTGACCCACTCCCTTGGCCTTACATCCTGAAAACCACGAATCAATTTTTTTTTCAATAATTTCATAATCTAAATAATGTTACATAAATGGAATCATACTGTATGAAAGCTTTTTTCACTCAGCATAACTATCTGAGGATGCATCCCAGTTGTGTATATCAATAATGTGTTGATGCAGTTGAACATTCATTCACTGAAGGATGTCTGGATTGTTTCCATTGTTTGGCAATTATTAACAGAGCAACGGTAAGCATTTTGTGCAGGAATTCATGTGCACATAAGTTTTCATTTCTCTGATATGAATACCCGTGGGTGCAATTGTTGGTTCATATATTAATTACACATTTGGTTTGGAAAAGTTGTCAAACTGTTTTCCCAAAGGGCGGCCCAATTAAATTCACACCAGCAATGTAAGAGTGATCAAGTTTCTCTACATTTTTGCCAGCATTTGCTGTTTCCTCCTATATATTCTTTTTAATTTTAGTCCTTCTGATAGGTTGGTAGTGATAGCTCATGGCGGTTTTAATTTCTATTTCCCAATTTGCTAAACACAGATTTTCCACAACCTAACAATTCCACTTCTATGTATATACCCTGGAGAACTGAAAACACATGTCATGCAAAAGGTTGTATACAAACGTCCATAGAAGTATTACTCATAGTAGCCAAGCCTTGAAAATAACCTAAATGTCCATCAATTGATGACTGTATACATAAAATATAGTATAACTGTACAATTAGATATTATGCATCAATAAAAAGGAATAAAGGTCTGATGCACGCTACAATATGGTTGGGAATAGAAAACATACTGCATGATGTGTGATAGAAGTCACACATTTTACATGAGTCTTTTTATTTGAAATGTTCAGAAGAGACAAATTAATAGACCACAGAAAGTGGATTCATGGTTTTCTAGAGCTGGAAACATTATTGACTGATAAATAGGTATGATATTTCACTTCGAGGTCATGAACAAATCCTATATCAATTGCAGTGCAGCAGCGAAACTCTCTGAATATACTAAAGTTCATTTAATTGTATATTTAAATAGGTAAAATATAGGATGTGTTAATTTTATCTCAATCAAGTTGTATTAAAAATCAAATGGTCATATTTTACAGGCTTATTTCTGGTTTTTCTAGTACTTTCAATTTATCTGTGTCTCTATCCTCCTGCCACTACCACATAGACTTGATAATTATAACAATAAAAAAGTATTAAAACAGAAAAACTGATAGTTTCACTTTATTATGTTTATTTTGAAAATTATTCCAGCTATTCCAGGTACTCTGATTTTTTTATGCTTAGGAAGTAAAAGTGCTTGATTAATTTTAATATTTTTAATTGTTTCCTTTTTTTTGGAAAATTTTGTGGCTATGTATAGTAGGTGTATATGTTTATGGGGTACATGAGATGTTTTGATACAGGCATTCAATGTGTGATAATCACATCATGGAAGATAGAGTTTCAGAATATAAGGACCTACAGAATACCAAACATTATTTATTAAAAAAATTACAAAGCTACACTCAATAAAATGAAATATTATAACATCAAAATGTTTTCCAAAGAACAGAGAAAAAATATTTCAAAAGCATGAAAAATGTTTGGAATTATATTTTTTCATTACAGAACTACTTGCTAGAAAAAAAAAGTTGAACAATTAATTTAGAAAGTGGATAGAATAAAACTTTGTTCCAAAGTTCTATAAACCTTTGTCCTGTTATTAAATTATAAAAGTAAGTGAAGACACATTTAGACATAAAATTATAATCAGTTATTACCAGAACAGGAGGTAATTGGCTAAAATGTGGGGGCTGTTGTGTCTGGCATCATGGCTGGGGTGGGGAATATTAGATGTGTCCTTATACTCAAAGGAAAATAAATTGTTCACCAAAAAGACACCTGCACTTGTATGTTTATTGCAGCACTATTCACAACAGCAAAGATACAGAATCAACCCAGGGGTTCATCAACAGCAGATGAGATAAATGAAATGTGATGCATACATATACACAATGGAATAGTACACAGCATAAAACGTACAAAATTATGTCCTTTGCGGCAACATGGATGCAGCTGGAGGCCATTATCCTAATCGAATTAATGAAGAAACACAAAAGCAAATATTGCATGTTCTGATTCATAAGTGAAAGCTAAGCACTGGGTCACATGGACAGAAAGATGGGAACAATAAACATTGGAAACTCCAAAAGAGGGGAGGAAGAGACGGAGGCAAGTGTTGAAAAACTACCTATCAGCTATTATGTTCACTACATGGGTGACAAGATAATTAAAAGCCTAAACCTCAGCAATATTCACTATACTTATGCAACAAACCTGCACATGTTCCATCTGAAGCTAAAATAAAATAAAATTTGAAAAAAAACATATATATATATTTTAGTGTTTTTATTTCTATTTTTAAACCTGCAAGTAAGATTCCAGATGGCAGCAACATGAGCGAGATAGATGTAGAAGAAAAATAGCAAAAGTTAAAAGAGGATTAATATGTTTGTTTCTTCAGAGTAGGGTAGTTACAAATTAGTTTTTATTAGAAAAAAAGAAAGATGAAATTGGTGAGGTTAATTTTTTAATAATACCCAATAGAAAAACAGATAACGGATATGCAATTTTTAAATATCAGTGGAGGAAATTTTTTATTCATAAAGGGAACTAAAATAACAAGAATCATGAAAGTGAAAAAAAAGGAAAGCAACAGGAAATGTAAAATCAGAAAGTGATTAAAAAACAAATATCAAGAAAGCAGAAATATGTTCTGATGGGTTGTAAACCTGCTACCTAAGAATTCTACTTTAAAGAATAAAACCTGGATAAATTAACTTAAAATGTAGAAACAAATAAATACAAAGATGTGCAGCATGTTTTGTAATTAAAAATAATAAGATGAATTATCTATTAGAAAATAAAAATATAAATGAAATCAATGTTACAAAACAAAACATGGAGTACATTAATCTATATAAACAAATAACAAATGATTAACAAAAATACTGTGATTGGTTGTAAATCTAAAAATTTGCAATGTGAAATCAGAAAACACACATGCTAGCCTTTGCCTCTGGAAATTGGGAGAGAAATCTGCTGGGGCAGTGTTAAAGGTGATATTAGCTTTCATGCTGTGTGCATGTTATTTAAACATCCTCTTTGAGATGAGCGCAATATAAAAAGTTGTTAATTTTTGGTATCAGGAACAAAGCTATTTGTTACATTTTTGCTTTATATTTTTAATAACCTACATAAGACAAAATGAGTATAATTGTAAAAAACAATGTGACAAGTTTGATAATTCAAAAGGTAATTAATTGCTTGGTCTTTGGAAATCTTATTAAATAAATTGAAAACCTTCAGCATCATGTGAAATGTGGCTATCCATAGCTAGATATGACATAGTCTATATTAAAGTCTGTGGGAGAACAAATGACAGATTACAGGTTGGAAAGAGAGGTCTTGGATTTTGAAATAGAGTCTTTTAGGGTCAAATATAGATTGAGAGAATACTGGAAAAAGTGATAGGCAAAGACCTCCACATATCACAGACGTAAAAATGCTATACCTAACTGGTGCTTATGTTATGGTCATGAATTCCGAAAAGCAATCAGTGATAAGTTATGCTGGTATTACTGATAAATAGTTTTGAAATTGTGTGTTTGTTTTGGCTATCATTGCACTGAGTGTCATGTCTTTGGCATATGATTCCACTTGAAGCTACAGATTTGGCAAAGATTGTTTTGAACCCGTGAAATTTGCTTTGTAAGAGGACAACAGAATGCAAGCTCCATAGGGCCAGACATTGAATGAATATAAATTAAAGGAATCATAAAATGCATGATGCATGAATAAACAGAAGTAAGAGAAAAAGAATAAAAGGAAAAAAGAAAGAAAGGAAGAAAATAAGGAAAGAAAGATTAAAGGAATAAATAAAGTAGTTTACAGGGTAAATTTCCAGTGCCACATATCTCTCATCACTAGTCAAAAAACACTCAGTAAAATATGTTCTTTCCCCAGAAAAGCAGCAGCCTGTGCTAACAAGCATTCTTCACAAGGTCATGCAGTCAAAGGCCCCACAGTTCTCTCCCAGGATATCCCTTCCAGGATAGTTGGTCAGTCTTTGAACTTCAACTACAATGATGTTTCTGACAGTTTTAAAATCCATTATTAGTCAGCATCCAGGAACAAACCAACTTGTATTGCAAGTTGACAGCAATAAGTTAAGGATCAGGAGATATTCCTTAAGGCAAGAACATATCGGTCTTTATAGAAGGATCAAAGCCCTTAGTAAAATAACATGGTAAGAGTCTTATTTTTTAGTAAAAACATAGAGCACTCGTTCTCGAATCTGTTTGGTCCTCACCCCATAAATGATGGGGTTGAGAGAGGGTGGGATAATCAAATAGAGATTGGCAACAAGAATGTGAATGTAACCTGGTATTTGGTGTCCAAATCGATGAGTAAGGAAAGAGAAGACTGAAGGGATATAGAAAACACAGATGACTCCAACATGAGCGCCACACGTGCTTAGGGCTTTTAGCTGAGCATCATGTGATGGGAGGCGGAAGACAGCACGGAGAATGTAAACATACGAGATGCCAATGAGCACCAGGTTCAGAACAAAGAAAGAAACTACAAAAAGCCCATAGATACCATTGATACGAATGTTTCCACAGGACAATTTTGCAATGCCCATGTGCTCACAGTAGGAATGGGCTATTATGTGAGCCTGACAAAAGGGTAGGCGGTAGATAAGATAGACCATGGGAAGTGTAAGTAAAACGGGACGAATTACAATGCACATGCTAATGCCCACCAACACTTGGGATGTCAAGATGGTTGCGTAATGTAGTGGAGCACAGACGGCCACATAACGGTCAAAAGCCATAGCCAGTAAGACCTCAGCCTCCATGCCAGTGAAGGCATGGATCAGAAACATCTGGGCCACACAAGCTCCATAGTTAATCTCGTGAGCATCAAACCAGAAGATACCCAGCATGCGAGGCACAGAGGTTGTAGAAAGGGCCAAATCAATAGTGGAAAGAATGGCCAGGAAGTAGAACATGGGCTCCCGGAGAGTCTGTTCTACCTTGATGACTAGCAGAATGGTGGCATTGCCCAGCAAAGCCACAAGGTAAACAGAGCAGAAAGGCCCGGAGATCCACATGTGGAAGTCTTCCAGACCTGGGATTCCAATGAGGAAAAATGTGACTGGGTGAAATATGCTCTTGTTGTGATAAAACATTTTTCCAAATCACAGTGTAGGAGAACTTGCCACATGTAGAAGCAGCAGCTGGGGAGAGAAGATTGAATAAGAAGTTTGTGTTTCATTCAGTATATGCAGAGCAAAAAGAAAAGGTTATTTGGAGGGTCCTGTTACTGTGTTTTGTAATCTACAGTCATTTGAATAGATCAGTCTCAAATAACTTAATTCTTATGTTTACATAATGATTGTAGTATAATGTGTAAACTTACACATTAAAAATTGAAGGATTCTATGACATAGAGTCTGATATTTAACTGGAATAATTGAAGATGCCCTGTACCCTTTATTAGTCCCTTGGTTGAAGAGGAATGCCTGAAAAATCAAAGATACACACAAGCGAAATGCCGATTAATTCAGGAGGAGACAGACTAATGAGGACATGAAGTTACAGACACAGATGTACACATATTTTTATAATTAAAAACTGCAAAAGTTCTTCTAATGATTTGTTAATCATTTATTGATGTAGGGCACATGCCAAGATTAAGCCTAATATCCTATCAAAAAGACAGAAAGATAACATGAGAAATGTAGATATAACAAACAAAAGCGTAAACACCCTGGAATGCTTGCCCCAGGAGCAAACACAGGCTGGGTCACATACCACCACACATGAAAGAGCTCAGAAAGAAAATAATAAACCTGTTGAGGATTTTCACTGATTAAAGTACTTTCTCAAGAGCAACAAATTTTTCGGTGGCTCATTTTGGATTTCTATAGTGATGGTAGTTTCTAGTGGTATTTGAAAGCATCATTTACTCTTCACTCTATATTAGTTCTCTAACTAGTATATACTGGGTTTATACCTCCTGCCTGATTAAGTCACTTTTCAGGTAGGTAGAGACAACCTAGAAGACTCCTTTGGTTATGTATTTGGAGAAGATGTTTTTGATGACACAAAACTGGAATAAAAAGGTCTATTTGCAGATAAAATTACTTTCTGTAATTTTCTAAAGGAAATATATAAGGGTGCTCTTTCAATGCTTTTGAAATTATGAAGAAGCAACCACTCATAAGCTGAAATAATGAAATCAAACTTCTGTGGGTCTCCAACTTGTGGCAGAGTGGTTCAGGATAGAAGAAAGTAGCACAGACTCCTGTTTCACCATTTATGTAGCTCCATATTTCTGACAAGTATGTCAAAGTGGAAAATACATCAAGATAAAAAATAAAATAAATAATATACCCATTCTGAGGTGTGGAGGGGGGTAGAGATATAGAGAGCAAGAAAGAGAGAGAAAAGGAGAGAGAAAGAAATAAGCTGTATTTCTACAGAAGTCCATTTTATTCCTTATAACCCATAGGAAAGGCAGAACATATATTTTACCAATAAACTATATAATTGCTTTGAATAAATACATCTATTCCATGGGTCTTCTAGATCGTTTTTAAATTTTCAATCTCCATTTAAGAGTTTCAAAGGATTTTTATTCCATTAGAGTCAGAAATTGTACTACCTGATCAATATCAAGCCCAGCAAGCTCAGCAACCCTTGATCATTTCTCACTTATTTCAATGTAATACATACCTAAGTCAAGAGAAAATTCACCTGCCTTATTATGTCATAGAAATATAAGCTCAAGGGGAGTATCAAGCAGCATGGCTCTATAGCCTTGTCATTTTTACAGTCCAAGAAGAGTCGTTTTATATTAAGGCTTTAGTTGCTTAGAACATTAGGAAAATTGAGTTAGCTGGGTTTTCTACTATAATTGGCACCATGAGATTGAATCCTCTGAGATGGTTAACAAAATTTTTGACTCTGATCTAGGGAATAGAAGCCCAAAGAAAAGTGATGAGTATAGAAATGTTCCTACAAAAAGATGCAGTTGTGGGAGCAAAAACATCCAAATATTATTATTTAATATATGGCATACAGATAGATACATTTTATTTCTAAGTGAAATTTTACCACCAAATTCTGTGGGATGTTGCTTTCTAGATAAAATAGTCCTTGATCCATATTAACTACCTAAGTTAAAGCCTAATAACCTGGCATTGCAGACTCCACGTTCAATCTTAGCTCTCGTATTCATTTCAATCACCATATGTTCTGAGTTTATTAAATGTTTAGTCTATGGATTAAGATCCTTGAGCCTTTGGTCACACTGCCCTCTGTCCATGATTGTTTCTCTATATTCCCCCACTTGCCAATTTTTCATACTTATATCACAGAGGTCATAGAGATAATTAGTAAAAATATCTACTCATGAAATGAGTTTGCTTCAGATCAAACACTGAATTTCTCATGTATACTATCTGTGTCAATTTGAATGACTTTCTTATTATCTCTTTGTCTCAGTTTCCTCAATTGAAAAATTAAGAATGATAATAGTACCCATAGCTTATAATATTTTTGAGGAATAATTTAAGTTGTTAATATAATACACTTAAATACAATACTTAGCATGCTTAAATGATTTTAAATGTTTTTAAAATGCTTTAAATGATTTTAAAATGTTAGTTTTTGTTATCACATAACTCAGCTCATAACAACACCTTCTTCTTAGACATCTGATCTATGAAAACCATATGGAGAAAACTCTCATGTCACTAAGTCTATACATTTGGTGTGAAAGTTCTCATTTATTCTAACATTTTATCCCTCGTTTTTCAGTCAAATGTATATATATATTTCTCATTCTCACTAAAATAACATTATAATAAATGGGAGAATTACTATCTTTTTACTTCATGCGGGAGAAGATATCTTAAACAATACTGAAGATACAATCAAGTTTAAGATGTAAAGCACAGACTTAAAAACATAAAGTTAAATTTGTCATCTTACTCTTTAGTCTTTTTGATTATATCACACAAACTTTAAATTTAAACTTCTGAAAGTTTACGAATTCAAATACAGGCATACCTCAGAGAGATTGCAGCTTCAGTTCCATACCACTGCAATGAAGTGAATGTCACAATACAGTGAGTCACACGAATATTTTGGTTTCCTGCTTGCTATAGTTTGAATGTCTGAGTCTCTGAAACTCATGTTGAAACTTAACCTCCAATGTGGCAGTATTGAAAGCTGGGGCCTTTCAGAGATAATTGGGTCATGAGAGTTCTGCCCTCATGAATGAATTAATCTACTTATGGATTAATGGATTAAGAGATTAATGGGAATGGAACTAAGAGAGACCTGAGCTAGCACATTAGCCCCCCTCACCATATGATGCCCCACACTTCCTTGAGACCCTGCAGAGTCCCCACCAGCAAGAAGTATCTCACCAAATGGGGGCCCTCAACCTCAGACATCTCAACCTCCATAACCACAAGAAATAAATTATATTATTTATAAATTACCCATTTTCAGGTATTCTATTATCAGGAACACAGACTATGACACCAATGCATATAAAAGTTATGTTGACACTATACTATAGTCTATTAAGTGTGCAATTGCATTATGTATAAAAATGCAATAAACATACATTAATTAAAAAGTACTTTGAAGAAAATGCTAATGATCATCTGATGGCTGCTGACTGCTCAGGGTGGTAGTTGTTGACAGTTGGAGTGGCTGTGGCAATTTCGTAAAATAAAACAACAGTGAAGCTTGTCAAATCAATAGACTCTTTCTTTCATGAAAGGCTTTTCTGTACCATGTAATTCTATTTTGTACCACTTTACCCTTAGCAGAGCGTCTTTCAGAATTAGTCATTTCTCTCAAACCCTGCTGCTGCCTCATCTACTCACTTTATATTATATAATACTCTAAATTATTTATCATTTCAACAAATCACTTTCTTTGCTCATCCATAAATAGCAACTCCTCATCCATTAACCTTTTGTCGTGAGATTGCAGCATTCAGTTCCATCTTCAGGTTTCACTTCTAATTCCATTTCTCTTGCTATTTCAACCATATCTGCAGCTGCTTCCTCCACTGAAGTCTTGAACCCCTCAACGTTATCCATGAGGTTGGAATGGGCTTCTTCCAAACTCCCGTTAATGTTGATGTTTGGATCTCCTCCATGAATCATAAATGCTCTTAATGTTATCTCCAATGGTGAATCCTTTCCAGAAGGTTTTCAATTTATTCCACCCAGATCCATCAGAAGAATCATTATCTACTTCAATTGTAACCTTATGAAATATTTCTTATACATTAAGACTTGAAAGTAAAAATTACTTATTGACCTATGGGCTGCAGAATGCATGTTGTGTTAGCAGACATGGAAACAAGATGAATCACATATGTCTCAATCAGAATTCTTGGGTGATTAGGTGCATTGTCAATGAGTAGTATTTTGAAATGAATATTTTTTTACTGAGCAGTAAGTGTGCTCAGTGTGCTTAAAATATTCAGTAAATGGCCGGGCGTGGTGGATCATGCCTGTAATCCCTGCCAGGCCAAGGCAGGTGGATCACAAGGTCAAGAGATCGAGACCATCCTGGCCAACATGGTGAAACCCCATCTCTACTAAAAATACAAAAAAAAAAAAAAAAAAAAATTAGCCGGGCGTGGTTGTGCACACCTGTAATCCCAGATACTCGGGAGCCTGAGGCAGGATAATTGCTTGAACCCAGGAGGCAGAGGTTGCAGTGAGCCGAGATCCGGCCACTGTACTCCAGCCTGGAAGACAGAGCGAGATTCCGTCTCAAAAACAAAACAAAATAAAAAATTTAGTAAACTATGCTATAAACAGATGTACTATCATCCAGGCTTTGTTGTTCCACTTACAGAGCACAGGCAGAGTAGATTTAACATAATTCTTAAGAGCCCTGAACTTTTTAGAATGATAAAATGAGCAATGGCTTCAACTTAAAGTCACAATTGCATTAGTAGCAGCAAGAGAGTAAGCCTGTCTATTGAAGCTTAGAAGCCAGGCATGTACTTTTCTCTACCTATGAAAGTGCTAGGTGGCATCTTATTCTGATATAAGGTTGTCTTGTCGACCTTGAATATCTGTTATTCAGGGTAGTCACTTCATCAATTGTCTTGGCTATAATAGGTCTTCTGGATAAGTTCAAACAGCTTCCACATCAGCATTTGCTACTTCACCTTGTCCTTTTATATTATGGAAACAGCATTTTGTCTTTAAACTCCATAAACTAACCTTTGCTAACTTCAAACTTTTCTTCTGCATCTTCCTCACTTCTCTCGTTCTTGATAGAATTAAACAGAAGTAGACCCTAGCTCTGGATTAGACTTTGACTTAAAGGAATATTTTGACTGGTTTGATTTTCTATACAGACCACTAAGACTTTTTCCATATCATCAATAAAGTTGTTTTGCCTTTTTATCGTTGATATGTTCACTGGAGTAGCACATGTAATTTCTTTCAGAGTATTTTCCTTTGCATCCACAACTTGGCTAACCTTTTGGCACAAAAGGCCTCACTATCGGCCGTCCTCACCTTTCAACATGACTTTCTCACTAAGCTTAATCATTTCTAGCTTTTAATTTAAAGTCATAGATGTGTGACTCATCCTTTCCCTTGAACACCTAGAGGCCATTGTAAGGTTATTAATTGGCCAAATTTTGATATTGTTGTGTCTCAGGGAATAAGGAAGCCTGAGAAGAGGGAGAGAGATGGTGGAACAATCATAACATATACAACAAAATACTGAAAATCAAAATTGTTAATTTTAAGAATCTACGTATGAATTTCAGGATCAAAGTAAACTAGATCAAGTGATAGAAGAAAAGAAAAAAAGTTAGAATACATGGAAGAAAAATAAGGAGTTTCTACTTTATCTTTATTTAAAAAGACTTACCAAAGAATATGGAAAGAAAATTGAGAAGAAAATATTTAAAGATATAAAGTCTGAAAAGTTTCTAGAAGTAATAGAGACATAAAATCTCAGAATATAAGGACCTATTATATACTGAACATGACTCTAAAAATTATAAATCGAGATTCAATGTATTAAAATTTTGGAATATGAAAAATAAACATGCTTTCCAAAGAATGAGGGGAAAAGTTCTTTTAAAACAGTGAGAAAATGATCAGTATCATATGTTTAATTAAGAGTATTGATGCCAAAAATAAACAACTGAATGAAGAATTAAGAAAGATGATAGAACAGAATTTTATTCAGAATTTTATAAATTTTTGATTTATCATTTAAATATGAGGGCAAATTAGAACATACTTAGACATAAAATTAGAATTATTACCAAAGCAGGGGTATATTGTGGCTGGTAATATGGCTTGGGTCAAAAATGCAAGAGATGTTTCTCCTAAGAATTGGTAAGCAAGAATATATTCATGAAGAGTTGTAGAAATAAATTGTTAATAATATATATCATCAAATAAAAATGGTTATTGAATATTATTTTAAAAAACTGGAAACAGGATTGCAGATAATCACAACATGAAAGAAATAAATGTACAAGAAAAACAGAAAACCTAAGGGGGACTAATATTTTTGTTTGTTCAAAGTATACTAGTTACAAATTACTTTCTTTATATATCTAATTTTTAGAAAGAGGGACTCTACAGGTTTGTGCCACCGTGCCAGGCTTTATTTATTTATTTATTTATTTATTTATTTATTTTCAGAAACAAGGTCTTGCTATGTTACCCCAGCTGGACAAATTAGTTTTATTAGAAAACAGAAAATGAAACTAGGAAAGTTAAAAATTTTAATAATATTTAGTAGAAGAAGAAATATAGCATATGCACCTGTCAAACATCAGTGAGAAATGGGATTTTTGAAAACAAGAACTAAATGAAATAATGGAAAACATAAAAGTGAGAAAAAAAATCAAAATATGTGAAATGTAGCCAGGTACGGTGGCATGTACCTGTAGTCCTAACTACTACAGAAGCAGAGGTAGGAAGACTGCGTGAGCCCAAAAATTCAATCCCCAGCAACATAGTGATACCCAGTCAAAAAAACAAAAACCAAAAAACAAAAACAAAGCGCGACAAATTCTGATATTCGAAGTACTTAATCAAAAATAAAGATCAAGAAGCAGAAATATGTTCTGATTCATTAAAATTCTGTTGCTTAATAATTCTACTTCAAAGTACAAAGCCTCAATGAATTACTATAAAAATGTAAAATATGCCACAAAGATGTGCACCGTATTTTCTAATTGGAAATAATGATAACTCAAATGTCCATAAACACAGGAATACATTAATGACATCAATGTTACAAAACAAAACATAAAGTATTTTAACCTATATAAAATAATAACGAGTGATCCAATAGACATGCTATGATTTGTTATAAAACTAAAATGTGTGCTGTGATATCAGAAAAACACATGCCAGACTGCCTCTAAAATCAGGAGGGAAACTGTGTTGGAGTGGTGATAAAGGTAATATGAACTTTCATGTTGCATATATTTTATTAAGCGTTATCTGTGAGATAAGTGCAGTGTTAAAAATTGTTAATTCTGGTTTGCAGGAAAAAATACATTTTTATATTTTAGAACTAGTTTCTTTTTAACAGTCTAAAAGATAAAATAATTAAAGTCATTAGAAATATAAAACAACGTTACTAATTTGATGATGCAAATCTCTATTGCTGGTCTTAAGACACTTCATTTTTAAATCAATTGAAAGCCCTCTGTCTCATGTGAAAAGTAGCTATGCATAAGTTAATCTGCAGCTTCTACATTAAAGTCAGGGGATCTAGAAATAAATCATAGACCTAAGATGAGAAACCTTGAATTTTAGGATAGAGTATTTTAGAATCAAATGTAGATGGAAAAAAACACAACTCGGTAAAGTGATAGGCAAAGGCCAGCATATATCACATATAAATGTTATACATTACTAGATTTTAAAAACTACACTTGTGACTATGCTATAAGCCTAAAAGCAAAGGGTACATCAGTGCTAAATTACTGTTGGTATCAGTGAGTAAAAGTTTTAAAATTATATGTTTGTTTTGGTTATGATTGCACAGAAACTTACACATTTGGCAGATGATTCCACTTGAAGCTACAGATTTGGCAATGATTTTTTTGAGCCCATGGACTTGGCTTTATAAGAGCATAACAGAATGCAAGCTCCACAGGGCCAGATGTAGCAGAAGGCAAGCTCCGCAGGGCAGACATTTGTGTTAGTTTTGTTTCTTGATTTATCCCATGCAGTTATAATTATTCAAAATATAAAACAAATACAATATGAATGTAAATTAAATTAGTAATCAAATACAGGAAGGAAGGAAGGAAGGAAAAAAGAAAGAAAGAAAAAAGGAAGAAAAGAAAATGAATGACATAGTTTACAGGGTTAAATTTCCAGTGCCACATATTTGTAATCACTGATCATAAAAGACTCAGTATAATATCTTCTTTCCCCATAAAAGAAGCAGCCTGCTGCAAACAAAGATTCTGCATGAAGTTATGCAGGCAAGGCGACACAGCACTTTCCCAGGATATCCTTCCCAGAATATTTGTCAGTCTTTGAACTTGAGATACCATGGAAGTTTCTGCCACTGTTAAAATCCATTAGTCAGCATCCAGGAACAAACCAACTTGTACTGCAAATTGACAGGAATAAGGAAGGATTAGGAGATATTCCTTAAAGCAAGAACGTATCAGTCTTCATAGGGGAGATCAAAGTCCTTAGTAAAAGAACATGGTCAGAATCTTATTTTTTAGTAAGTACATAGAGCACTCGCTCTCGTTTCCATTTAGTCCTCACCCCACAAATGATGGGGTTGAGAGAGGGTGGGATAACCAAATAGAGAGTAGCAACAAGAATGTGAATGTAATGTGGAATGTTGTGTCCAAATCAATGAGTAAGGAAAGAGAAGACCGACGGGATATAGAAAACACAGATGACCCCAACATGAGAGCCACATGTGCTTAGGGCTTTTAGCCGAGCATCATGTGATGGGAGGCAGAAGACAGCACAGAGAATGTAAACATATGAGATAACAATAAGGACCAGGTTCAGGAGAAAGAGGGAGACCACAAAGAGCCCATAGATAGCATTGACACGGATGTTTCCACAGGACAATTTTGCAATGCCCATGTGCTCATAGTAGGAATGGGCTATTATATGAGCCTGACAAAATGGTAAACGGTAGATGAGATAGATTATCGGGAGTGTAAACAGAACTGGACGAATTAAAATGCACATAGTGATGCCCACCAGCACCCGGCATGTCAAGATGTTTGTGTAGTGAAGTGGATTGCAGATGGCCACGTAATGGTCAAAGGCCATGGCCACCAGGACCTCAGCCTCCATGCCAGTGAAGGCATGGATCAGAAACATCTGGGCCACACAAGCTCCAAAGTTAATCTCATGAACATCAAACCAGAAGATACCCAGCGTACGAGGCACAGAGGTTGTAGAAAGGGCCAAATCAATTGTGGAAAGGATGGCCAGAAAGTAGAACATGGGCTCCCGGAGGGTCTGTTCTGCCTTGATGACTAACAGAATGGTAGCATTTCCCAGCAAAGCCAAAAGGTAAACAGAGCAGAAATGCAGGGAGATTCACATATGGACGTCTTCCAGACCTGGGATTCCAATGAGAAAAAATGTGGCTGGGTGAGAAGTGCCCCTGTTGCCATGGTATGCCATCCTGCACTGCATTGTTCTGAAGAGGTGAAGCTCCTTCTTTTGGGGGAAAGAGAGAGAGAAAGAGAAAGATCAGATGAAGCAGTTGCTAGCATAGCATAGCAGCTAGCATAGCAGCTGCTAGCACAGCAGTTGCTAGCATCAATTTCTAGCCCTGTGTTTCAGCACGGAATTGAATTCACATTTACTGTGCAAGCAGGCGGGTTCAGAAACTCCTGTACTGAGTCATTGCCTTAGCCATTTATACAGACCAGGGCATGGTGAAATTCAGAATTTTCATTCTGCCTGTTGATTGGGTTCTAATTCTATATATAGAGATTTGCAACAACCTTATTGAGTATTTCTAATAATTAATACTTTCCACTCACTTTGAAAGCAAGTAATACATTATTTTACTCTGGGAATTCACCCTCTGTTTAGTAACATTGGAAATATCAAGACAGCACATGGGGCCATGTGAATACAACACACAGACCCTCAAAGTGTCATTAGGTGATTCATAAGAATGTAAATCATAAGACCTCATGTACATAGGCACTTTCGCAATAAAAACCTAAATTCTTTAATTGACTGGCCTTGAGATACATATGTAAAAACTCTGACCCAAGCCCAGTAGCCTCTCAGATACTGAAGCAGAGTATAAGAAACATCGATTTCTCAGAAAAGTACTGGTTCCTGTGATGCCTGGCCAGAAGTAGAAATAGCAATTGTTTATGACCTCCAGGCTTAGGATTTTCAAGTGGGAAAAGGATAAGAAGGCTGTGTAATGCCATTTTCACACTCTGTTTATTATCTACCCCACACCAGGTATTCTTAGAGCACCTGTTAATTTTACCTTTGTTAATTTTTCCTCTACTATGGAGCCAATACTTATTTGTCACTCCTTCTACCACTTCAAGACACTAGATATGTGGGTAGAAGACAACACGGACAATCTCAGATAGTATTTGTGATAGAGAAGTTTTTTTTTTTTTTTGTAGTTCTCTTGGATAGCATTGTGTCAACTGAAAAACGATCAACTTTTGCAATAGTCTAAAAGGAATGAAGAAAAATACTTAAGTAATACCTTTAAAATGCTGCAAATAAACCAAATCACTCAAAATGAGCTAAGGAGGCTTGCCCTGGGGTCCTTGGTACAGCAGTTGTAATTCAAAATAAAGTTAAAAGATCCGTACTTTCATCTTTGGCATAGTTTCACTTTCTAATCATTTTTTAATTATCATTTTTTAATACAGTAAATATATCAAGTCAAAAATAACTTTTTTGAGGTGAAGCTCCTTCTTCTGGGGCAGAAACAAAGGGGAAAGAGAGAGAAAGAGAAAGATCAGATGAAGCAGTTGCTAGCATCAATTTCTAGCTCTGTGTTTCAGCACGGAATTGAAGAGTAAACTCTTCATCCTTTTGAGATTATTCCAACAGAGAGAGAACAAGTGCTGCAAAGTACACTGACTCTTATTGTATTGTATAAAAACATTGATATTCTGGACAATTAAAATATAATTGCTCAGCAGAAAGATAATGACAGCACCCAGGCTATAGACTTAAGGATTAAATCTAGGTGCCCACTCTCAAAAGTAGGTCTCCACTACCCTTATTTCTTCCTACTACCATAGAAACTGATTTAACCTAACGCAATTGGTAGGATGACATTTTAACTTGGATATTCATGAGAGATTTCACACATAATTTTTAAAATTTAAAACATAATTTATACATATTTTGGGCATCTATTATTTAATGCATACATAATATGTTCATATATTATAATTTTATACATTACATGTTAATATATAACTTTTTTTCGCTGCCTGGTGCAGGTCAGCCACATGGCCCAGTTCTCAGTGTGCACTGCTCATATATCTCTCCATGCACTGCCACACCTGCTCACCAGAAATCAGCGGCTGATTCACCTCATTCTTCCATAGGAATCAACACCTACACATAACATTGGGCAGCACAGTACTTAGTCCCTTTTCTGAGTAGCACTTGGAAGGTGTGCTAATATTAGGTTTCTAGAACCTCAGGGATATTATAAGAATACATCTAATTTTAGTCTCTACTTTATACAGAGCTCTGCAAATGAGTCCTCAGAGACTGCTCACCAACTCCTGGGTGCTGCTCTAGAAACACAGAAAAGCTCAAGGAAGGTAGAAGCAAGCTAAAGTGTAGGTAATACAATTTCAAGAAGTGGGACTAAAGCACACTCTCACTGTCATTTATCCTTGATATATGTAAAAACAGATAATTGTATCTCTACCTAATTGTGAATGTGTGGCCCAATTCTGTAGGCCTTTTTCATACAGAATAAACTGGCTAAATTCATGTCCAACATTTTAACTACCATAGTAGGCTTTCTGACTTAAACTATTTCTCTTCACTGATAGTTTTTTCAGACCAAATATAACTGACTTGAATTTCTCTAATTAGCATAAAAACACAAAGTCATGATCTTTTTGTCCATTGTGTTTTCTATACATGAATTCTCAAAACCAAAACCACCAAAATTTTACATATACAACTTTTAAAACTCCTACTAATAAATACCTAAAATTTCAATCCTGGAGTCTGACTGCTGGTGTACAAATACTGACTTTGTCACAAACTAGCAGTAAAATTTTGAATGACTTGTGTATCATTTCTACATCTCAATTTCCTTATCTATAAATGGGAATAATAATAGTATTTCCTTCGTTGGGTAGATTTGAGATACAAATTTTTCTGAGGCATTTAGAACTTTGTCTTGTACACAGTAAATCACCAGTTATAGTCATTTTTTAAACTATTATTTTATTAATTTATATTTTAGCTCTAAATATTTTAGCTCTTAAATAAAATATAACTAAATAAAATTTAGTTATATTTTAGCTCTTGAAAACTTCATATAAGTGATTATTGCAAAACAAATTGAGGAAATTTATACTACCAATTATGTAGCCATTTTTCTTCTTAACTCTAATGATGTGAAACATGTTCTCTCTAATCTTAGACTCAAATATATATATATATGTGTGTGTGTGTTTGTGTGTGTAGTTCTTATTAGAATGTGGTTATCTGGAGTGAAAAATTATATCTCTTTATTACACAGTGGAGGTTTCTGAGAACCTCCTTAAGACAGAACTACTTAAGCAAATAAAGCATGAAATTAAAAGCATGTGCAGTAATATTCTTTATCTGGCCTAGTCTGTCTTATCCATTATTCCATACCAACATTTCGTTAATGTTATCTCCTCCAAATTTACAATTTTTGCATTCCTGTATATATACAATGATATATTCTCTAAGGTCCAATCAGGTCTTCACATCTAATCAAAATTAATCTTAAGACATTTACTCAGAGGTGCATTTGTTTTCTCTGAGTGAATGAGGAAGCATCTGAAGTTGAGAGCTGCTAAAATATGTTGGATACAAGTGGGGAACTAACCTTAAGAGCAAGATGAGATACAGAATTTTAACACCAAATATTAAAACAAAATTGACCCTCATTACATGGTTTAGTTATACAAACAACTCTTATATAAAATCGAACCAGCATCTTTAATGCTGTGAGAGCCAATAAATTTCCTTTGAAGGTCTATATTATCTTTTCAAAAATATGTAATATAAAGTATCCCAACAGACACAGATTTAATTTTTTTTCTTGGACACATCCCTCACAGTGGCACCAGTTCTGTAGTTCTGCTCTGAAATGGTTGCACTTAGGTGTCTTGCTGAGAATATCTTTTATTTCTCTTTGGTTTTGGAGCCCCTGTTCCTCAAACCTCCTATCTTCCTATTTTACAGATAGCCTTGCAATTTTTCTGGAACAAATCTTTAAGTAAATTCCCAAAGTATGATAAATGGGAAGTATAGTTTCAAAACTTTATATGACTAAAAAGTGCTTTGCCCTCAACCATGATTAATATTTTGGGTCTAGTCATTATTATCAGTTGAATTGTAGCCCCTGAAAATGTATATGTTAGAGTCCTAAACCCTCATTACCTCACAAAGTAACCTTACTTGGATCTCTTTTTTTTATTTATTTTTTTTTTTTTGGTAATTGTTGTTGTTGTTTTATTTTGTGGTGAGAACACTTAACATGTGGTCTGCCCTCAACAAATTTTGAACTTCACACTACTATATTGTTTACTACAGGCACTAAAATTATTCATCTATCATAACTTCAACTTTGTACTCACTAAACAACAACTTCCCATTTTCTCCAGCCCCTTAACTTCTGGAAACCATTATTGTCTTATTCACTTCTGAGTTTCACTAGTATAAAAACTTCATTTAAAGTAGAATCATGCCACATTTGTCCTTCTATAAATGGATTATTTCACTTAGTGTAATACCCTCATGTTATTGCAAATAGCAGAATTTCCATTTTTAAGTTTAAATAATATTCTATGCATATACCACATTTTCTTTAAAATCAATAAAAGTCAAATAAAATGGAGAAAATCAACAATGTGGAAAGTTTGTTCTTTAAATAGTTTAATAAATACATAAAATTTTTAACAGAAATGATCATGAGAAAACAGAGAAAACACAGTTCATACTGTTAATGGAAGTGGGAGCCATTACTACAGATCTCACACACATTTAAACATATTTAAATCATGCAGTGAATACAATGCAGAATATTTTTGCATTACACTAGATATCATAGTTTAAATGACATGTTGTTTCTAAATATACCCTCAGAATTTAAACAAGAAAGACAAAATTGGATCATTGTTCCTCTAAATATTTAATCCATAATTTTTAAAAAGTCACTCAAAAAGTCTTCAATCTGAAAGAGTTTCATTTGTGATTTTATCTCAACATTTACAAAGGAGCTAATACCAGTAGAGTCCAAAGTCTTTGAGAGTATAGAGTATTTCCCAACTGGTTTCATGAGTGATAACTGAACCAGTCAATTATATTCTGAGGAAAGGTAATTAAAGACTAACGTGTTTTATAAGCACAGATATAAATACCCTTAAAAATTATCAAATAGAATACAATGTTGTATCAAGAGAATAACACATTGCAAACAAATGAAGGCTATTCTAGTACATAATTTGTTTTAAAAAATTATAGATATACTTCTTCACACTGCCAAAGATAGAAAAAGATGATCACCTTAATATATAAAATTTAAACATTTTTATCCTTTTAATAAAATTTTTATACTAACATTTTACTTTTAATTTTTGGTACATCATAGGTGTATATTTTTATGTATATTTGGATACAGGCATACAATGCATAATAATCACAGTGTGGTAAATGGAGTATGCATCACCTCAAGCATTATCATTTATTTGTGTTACAAACATTCCAATTCTTTTATTTACTTTTAAGTGTATAATAAATAATTGTTGACTGTAATCATCTTGTGCTATGAAATAGTAGATCTTATTCATTCTAACTATATTATTGTACCCATTAACCATTTCCATTCCCTCCACCACTACTATTTTGTAAGATTTCTGAGTAAACTAGAAACAGATGTAACTACCCTAATTTTACAGATACACATAAAAATAATACAGCTAAAATTATATTAATGAAAACATATTCAATATTTCTCCTATAAGGTCAGGTAAAGTCAAAGATGTCTTATAAATACTTCTATTCAGAACTGCACTATATGCCCAAAAGAGTATAATACAGTAAGAAAAATTATAGAAAAAAAGATGAGAATTTGAAAGAATAAAGTAAAAGTCTCTATTTACTTATATGATTGTGTATATAAGATATTCAAAATATTTGTATTTTTAAAAAATTCTGAGTAATATTCAAAAACACATTCAATTTTAATATTCTTAAAAACAATGTAGAAATTAATTTGAAAATACAATTTACCAAGTAATTGCATTATTAGGTATATATCTGAGGAATTGCTCCTCACAAGAGGGCATTAGCTGCAGGGGTCTGCCTGCAGACCCTGACCCAAACGATGGATGAATAAAATGTACATTGACACACAGATAATCTGTTATGCCAGTCCTGCTGAATGTCCGACCACCTGCACACCAAGAGAGGTTTGTCACTGCGGCTGGCCTTGAGAAGCTTGCACTCCAGACATTTATTTAGTATACAATTAACAACAGAAGCTCTGAGTCAACACACTTGTGGATAATTAACATGGTTAAGAGAGTAGTTCTAGGAATGATTAAAGCTCAGCTAAGGTGGTCTGAAGTAAATACCACCAGGGGGGCAGTTTCCCTGGCTGACCTCCCACCCAGAGGGCCATCTGGCTCAAAGGTTAGTTAATGGAGGTAGGGTAACCAGACTTAACTGGGGAAGCCTCTATTGTCCCTAGCATTTACCGTATGACCTAATGCTCTAAGGTAAGAACCGGCTGCCTTCAGCCTGTTCAATTATTACAAGCTATGTAACCTTTTGGCCTTCCAAAAAGGTTCATGACTATTCCTTATAACATTCCCTAATATTTCCCTTCAATATTCCTGCCGCCATCCTGAGTGAATCCCAACATATACCCAAATGAATATAAATTGTTCTACCATAAAGACACATGCACATGTGTACATCGCAGCAGTATTCACGATAGCAAAGAATGGAATCAACCTAAATGCCCATAAATGGTAGATGGATAAAGAAAATGTGCTACATACATACTATAGAATACTATGCAGTCATAAAAAAGAATGAGATTATGTCCTTTCCAGCAACATGGATGAAGACGGAGTCCATTATCCTAAGTGAACTAACGCAGAAACAGAAAACCAAATAACAAATGTTCTCACTTAAAAGTTGGAGCTAAACATTGAGTGCATATGAACACAAAGAAGCTAACGAGACACTGGAATTTACTTAAAGGTAGAGTGAGGGAGGAGGGTGAGGACTGAAAAACTACCTATTGGGTACTATGGTTATTACTTGGATGGTGAAATAATCTGTACACCACAGCCCTGTGACATACAATTTACCTATATAATAAACCTGTACATGTATTCCTAAGTATAAAATGAGAGTTAAAAATAAATTAAAATAAAATATAATTTATATAGCATAAAAATCAAATATGTAAAAACTAACCAAATACTTTCAATATATTGACCCTGGAAACATGGGAACATTACAGGGAATTCCAAAGACATGTGGATAAATAGATGGATATACTATGTCCATTGATTGTATTACTGTGTCAAGATGTCAATCTTCCCAAATTAATTTAGCAGTTCAAAACAATTCTAATGAAAATCTTGGTAAGCTTTATAGAATTTGACAGCTTGATTGAACCTATAGAATATGACTTATAGAACTGACAGAATTTGACTTATAGATTGAACTTACAGAATTTGATAACTTGATGTGGAATGCAAAGATCTAGAATACTCAAGGCAGCTTTGAAAGAAATAAAAGAGAATATCATGATTTATTCATTTATTTTATGTATTTTTTTTGAGACAGAGTCTTGCTCTGTTGCCCAGGCTGGAGTGCAGCAGTGCCACCTTGGCTCACTGCAACTTCTGCCTCTTGGGTTCAAGTGATTCTCCCACCTCAGCCTCCAGAGTAGCTGGGACTACAGGTGTGCACCACCATACCCTGCTAATTTTTGTATTTTTAATAGAGACAGGGTTTCATCATGTTGGCCAGGCTGGTCTTGAACTCCTGACATTAAGTGATCCCCTTGCCTTGGCTTCCCAAATTGCTAGGATTACAGGTGTGAGCCACTGAGCCTGACCTCCACCAGTTTTTGGTATCAAGATAGTCCTAGCCTCATAGAATGAGTTGGGGAGCAGTCCCTCTTCTTCAACTCTTTGGAGTAGTTTCAATAGGAATGATACCACCTCTTTTTTGTACATATTTTAGAATTCTGCTGTCAATCCATCTGGTCCTGGGTTTTTTAGGGGTTGGTAGGCCATTTTTACCCACTCAATTTTCAAGCTCTTTATTGGTCTGTTCAAGGAATCAATTCTTCCTGGCTCAGTGTTGGAAAGGTATAGGTATCTAGGAATTTATCCTTCTCTTCTAGGTTTTCTAGTTGTGTGCACAGAGGTGTTCATAGTAGCTTCTGATGTTTATTTTTATTTCTGTGCGGTCAGTGGTAACATCCCCTTTGTTATTATGTTTATTTGGGTCTTCCCTTTTTCTTCATTAGTCTAGCTAGTGGCTTATTTTATTAATTAAACAAAAAGACAAATCCTGGATTCATTGATCTTTTGAATGGTATATCGTGTCTCAATTTCCTTCAGTTCAGCTCTGATTTTGATGATTTCTTGTCTTCCGCTAGCTTTGGGGTTGGTTTGCTCATGGTTCTTTAATTCTTTCAATTGTGATGTTAGGTTATTCATCTGAGATCTTTTTAACTTTTTGATGTGGGCATTTAATGCCGTAAATTTCCCCCTTAACACTGTCTTAACCATGCCCCAGAGATTCTGGTATGTTGTATATTTGTTTTCATTAGTTTCAAAGAACTTCTTGAGTTCTGTCTTAATTTCATTATTTACCCAAAAATCATTCAGGATCAGATTGTCTAATTTTCATGTAATTGCATGGTTTTGAGCAATTTTTTTAGTCTTGACTACTGTTTTTATTGCGCTGTAGTCCAAAAGGGTGTTTGGTATGATTTTGGTACTTTTGACTTTTTTTGAGAATTCTTTTATGTCCAATTGTGGAGTTGATTTTAGAGTATGTGCTATGTGGCAATAAGAAGAAGGTATATTATTTTGTTTTGGGGTAGAGAGTTCTATAGAGGCCTATCAGATCCATTTGGTCCAATGTTGCATTCAAGTCTTAAAAATTTTTGTTAATTTTTTGCATCAGTGATCTGTCTAATAATGTCAGTAGAGTGATGCAGTCTCCCACTGTTATTGTATGAAAGTCTAAGTCTCTTTGTAATTTTCTGAGAACTTGCTTTATGAATTTTGGTGCTCCTGTGTTGGGTACATGTATATTAAGAATAGCTCAGTCTTCTTTTTGAATTGAACCCTTTATCATTATGTAATGACTTTCTTTGTCTTTTTTTTTTTTTCACATCTTTGTTGGTTTAAAGCGTGTTTTGACTGAAATTAGGTTGGCCACTCTTGCTTTGTTCTGATATCCATTTGCTTGGTAGATTTTCCTCCATCCCTTTATTTTGAGCCTATGGGTGTCATTGCCTGGGAGATGGGTCTCTTGAAGACAGCATACCACTGGGTCTTGCTTTTTTTTTTTTTTTTTTTAATACAGCTTGCTAGTCTCTTCCTTTTCAATGGAGCACGTAGCCCACTTACATTCAAGGTTAGTATTGATATGTGTGAATTTCTACCAGTCATTGTGTTCTTAGCTTGTTATTATGCAGCCTTGTTTATGTGTTTGCTTTATAGTGTCCCTGGTCTGAGTACTTGAGTGTGTTTTTGCATTATCTGATAATGGCCTTTGCTTTCTATATTTAGTGCTGCTTTTAAGATCTCTTGTAAGGTGGGTCTGTTAATAACAAACTCTCTCCACATTTGCTTATCTGAAAATGATTTTATTTCTCCTTTGCCAGGAAGATGAGTTTGTCTGGAAATGAAATTATTGGTTGAAGATGTTTTTCTTTAAAAATGTTGAATATAGGCCCCCAATCTCTTCTGGCTTGTAGGGTTTCTGCTGAGTGGTTCACTGTTGGCATAATAGGGGTTCATTTGTAGGTTACCTGCCCTTTCTCTCTAGCTGCCTTTAACATTCTTTCTTTCATTTCAATCTTGGAAAATATGATGATTATGTTTCTTAGGGATAATCTTGTGTAGAATCTTGCAAGGATGCTCTGTATTTCCTGAATTTGACTGTTCACCTCTCTAGTGAGGTCACAGAAGTTTTCATGGATGATAACCTGAAATATATTTTCCAGGTTTTTGCTTCCTAGATATCCCTTTCAGGAATGCCAGTGATTTGTACATTTGGCCTCTTTACATAGTGCCATATTTCTCAGAGTCTCAGAGACTTTGTTCATTTCTTTTCATTCTTTCTTTTTTTTTCTCTAACTTCCTTATTTCAGAAAGCCAGTGTTCAAGTTCTGTGATTCTTTCCTCAACTTGGTCTATTATGTTCATAATACTTGCATTTGCATTATGAAATTCTTGCAATGTGTTTCTCTACTCTAACAGATGATTTAGTTTTTTTTTAAAAAAAACTGGATATTTAATCTGTCAGCTCCTGTATTCTTTTCTTGTAATTCTTATTTTCCTTGGATTGGGTTTTGCCTTTCTCCTGAATGTTGATGATCTTAATTCCTATCGACATTCAAAATTCCATTTATGTCATTTTAGCCAACTTGGCCTGGTGAAGGACCCTAGTTGGAGAACATGTGTGATTGCTTAGAGGATATAAGACACTGGCCATTTGAGTAGCTAGAGTTCTTACATTGATTCTTTCCCATCTCTGTGTGTAGGTGTCCCTTTAACTGCAATATAGGTTGAGTACAGTCAGTATAATTATTTTCTCGATGTTTCCAGAGGGTTGAGGCTTTGTGCAGAGTCTTCATTTGTAGCATACTTCCTGTCTTTGGTTTTACAGGGGGGTATGTTAGTGAGCTATTTTGGTGTTTAAGCTTTGTGTTGTGATTCCAGTAGGTGATTCTTAAGTGTAATGGTCAGTTGGTAGATTCTTGCTCATCTGTGTGGCTCTCCTATGTTTCCTCACAGCTGCAGCTGTGCTCCTTCTCAATGCTCTGAAAGTGTGGGCTCCTCTTCCACTTGAGTGCTGGCTGTAAATCGCAGCTTGGCACTCTGAGGCTGCCCCCTGCTGCTCTTGGGTGATCTCAGGGTTTATGTTTCCTCCCAACTTGGAGGCATCAGGGGCAAGGACCTTAGTAGTGGTTGTGGCTGAGGGTCTTTTGCCTGTCTCCTGGAGGCTCCATCCCAGAGAGAAGCAGGTCAGCAATTGCTCAGTGCAATCAGCCTGGGATGGGTGGTCTGTGCTGTGGGCCCAAGCCAGGGACTCCCTGCCTAGTGATGAGCAGGGAGGTGGTTGGGGTTCATGGGAGATGGACTGGCTTTTTCTCCTTGGGTCAACTGCAGATTGCTGGAGTTGTGGATAAGGCACTAAGCGTCTTTGCACCTTCATTAGTCTGAGGGTAGCAGGGGTACTATTACTGCGGAGACTGGCAGAGAGGCTTACGGTTGCCCCAGGGAGCTCCACCTCCAAGAAATGCAGAGCTGCTGTTACTGGGAGTGTTCAGCTGGTGGGGTGGGGTAGCTGCACTGCTGGCATAAGCTTCAGGCTCCACTTGTTGGGAAGCAGGGTATTGGGGGTCACTGGGAGGAGAGACTGGTGTCTCTGTATGGTGACTGTGGTGTGCTGTAAGTTCAGGTATAGCCCCAAGACTCTTTGTCTCCTCGCAAGAAACAGGGAAGAAGGGATAGAATCACTGTTGTGGCAGTGGCAGAGGGACTGTTAGATGCCTCTGTGAGCCTCTCTCCAGGTAAACTCCAAGCCTACCAGTGGGTATTCTCAGCTGCGGGTGGGGACAACTGTTTTGCAGTCATGAGCTGGGGGCTCTGCCAGGTGAAGAGTGGGGAGTGGGTGTTGCCAGAAACAAAAAAGACTGGACTCCTCTCCATACAGTGTACTAGCAGTGCCAGCATAGTGACTAGGCCCTTTGTTCCTTCCCCAGCCCAAGGGCTGTTAGTGGGGTATCACTGCAACCGTAGTAGCGGAGGGATTGTGGGGTGATTCTGGGATTTCCTCCTCAGAAATTCCAGTCTGCCACTGATTGAGGTAATCAGGTCAGAGCAGCGTTCTTATTCTGGAGTCCCAGGTCAGGAAGCCTTGCCCAGTGAGGATAGGTGAGAACTAACACCTGCGTAGAGAAAAGTTTGGCCATTTTTCTTTGAGGTGGTTGGCTTATGCTGGGGGTCTGGACCAGCCCCTAGTCCCCATGGATTCTCCATAGCCTGGATACAGCAAGGGTACAAGATGCAAGACAACAAAGATGGCAACCTCCCACTGGAAGCTCTGTCCCAGGGAGTTGCAGAGATGCTACTGGCTTGACAGCACTAGCATAGGGTGGCTGGAGAACCAGGCCTGGAGGTTCCACCCAGTGTGGAGATATGGGATTGGGGACCCATGTAATAAGCAGTCTGGCCACTTTTCTGTAGGGCTGCTGTGGTTTGCTGGGGATCTGCTCCTGTCCCTAGTAACTCTGGGTTTTCTAGTACCTGAAGGTATCAACAGTAAAGGCTGCAAAACAGCAAACATGGTGGCTTCTCCTCCCTCTAGGACCTCCACTCTAGGGAGGTATGGACATGTTGCAAGTCCAAACACACTTGCAGGATGTGGCCGGACACCCGGGTCTGGAGATCCCACCCATTGAGAAGGAACGGGATCGGGACCCTGTGTAAAATAACAGCCTGGCTGCTTTTTTGAGCAGCTGCGCTGTGCTGGTGGTTTGCTCCAGCCCCCAGACGCCTTGTACTGCCCAAGGCCCAAAGGCAAGAATGGCTAAGACTGCCAAACAGTAAAGATGGCAGCCCACCCCCCACTTCTAGAAGCTCCATCCTAGGGAGATTTGAAACTTCTGTCATCTGGAAAACAACTGTAGGGTTGACTGGATACCCCAGTCAGAAGATTCCATCCAGTGAAGAGAAATAGGATCCAGGATCTACATGAATAAGCAGTCTGACCACTTCTCCGTAGAGCTGCTGGCTCTGCCAGGGCACTGCTTCAGCCCTTAGTCCCCTCAGACTCCCTAGACCCCAAAGGCAAGGATGGCTAAGGCTGTGAAACAGCAAAGATGGCAGGCCACCCCTCCCTGTTAGAGCTCCATCTCAGGGGTGGGTAACTGCTGCTACAAGTGACTGGCTGGATTCCCAAGCCAGTGGGTCTTATCCTGCAAGGTGTTTTTTAAGTGGGGCCCACAGCCCATTGCTGCTCAGCCCCCTGGATTCCAGCCTCTTTCCTAGGGGTATGCACGGGCTTCTAACCTCCTGGTTTGCCAGAATAGTAGCTGATTTTTCAGGAAAGCCTGGGTATCTAAGGCTCCCAGGGCTCCACATGTGCCAGAGCAGCTGGTCTGCTGAGACTCCATATAGCTCTGTGTGTCAGACCGCAGGTCCTGGTGGGGTGGGTTCATAAGGGGATCTCCTGACCAGAGAGTTGCAAAGACTGGTGGAAGAAGCGTGAGTCCCTGGGGTTACTCACTCACTTACCACTTCCCACCACATAGCCAGGAGGTTCCCCTGGCTCCATGTTGCTATTGAGTGAGCAGTTGTTCTGACTTGCTTTTCTCCATTCTCCATGGGGCTAGTTGTCTCCTTGATGAGTCCCAATGTGTGTACCTGGATGTTTCAGTTGAAGGTGCTGTATTTACTCACCCCTTCCATTTCTCTATGTGAAAGCAGTGCTCACTAACTGTTCCTAGCTGGCCGTCTTGACCAACCCCCTTTCAAGTCATAATATATAAGAAACACATTTTGTAAAGTCATAGCTACCATAGACAGTGATTCCTCTGATGGATCTGGGGAAAGTAAATTGAAAATCTTCTGGAAAGGATTCATCATTGTAGATGCCATTAAGAACATTTGTGATTTATGGGACAAGGTCAAAATATCAACATTATCAGGAGTTTGGAAGAAGTTGATTTCCACCCTCATGGATAACTTTTAGGGACTCAAGGCTTCATTGGAGAAAGTAACTGCAGATGTGATGGAGATAACAAGAGACCTAAAAATAACAAGAACAGGGAACCTAAAGATGTGACTGAGTTGCTGCAATATTGTGATAAAGATTTAAGAGACAAGGAGTTGTTTTTATAGGTCAGCAAAGAAAGTGGTTTCTAGAAATGGAATCTATGCCTGGTAAAGATACTTTGAACATTTTTCTAAGTAACAACAAAGGATTTAGAATTTTATAAACTTAATAAAGCAGCAGCTATGTTTTAGCAGGCTGACTCCAGTTTTGAAATTTCTACTCTAGGTAAAATGCTGTAAAACAGCATTACATGCTACAGAGAAAACTTTCATGAAAGGAACAGTCGATTGATGTGGCAAATTTTATTGTCTTATTTTCAGAAGTTGCCACCACCACCCTAGCCTTCAGCAACCACCATCCTGTTCAGCCATCAACATCAGGGTAGGACCTTCTACCAGCAAAAATGTTATTATTTCTGAAGACTCAGATATTTGCTAGTATTTTTAGTAATACATTATTTTTCTAAATTGTAGATTTTTTTTAGACATAGTACCATTTCACCATTAAGAGACTATAAAATAGTGTATGCATAACTTTTATATATATAGGAAACCAAAAGATTTTTTATGACTTTCTTAATTGCAGTATTCACTTCATTTTGGTGATCTTGAACCAAATGAAGTATCTCTAAAGTACAGGTGTATCACTAGAATTAAGCTGGTATAAATCTAAAACTGATTCTTTTCAGAGGAGATGTAAGCTATGGACAACCATTAAGGAAAACATCAGTAATATATAACAAAAATAGTTAAATAAATTAAATCTTAAGACAGTATTATTTTAGAACAAAAGAAAGCAGAAGAGAAGGAATAGAGAAACATACAAAAATGAGACATATAAAGAGCAAAAAGTAAAATTGCAGATGTAAATCCAACTATATCAATAACACTAAATACAAATGGATTCACAATTCAAAAAACTGAGTTTGTCAGACTTGAAAATTAAGTACGATTGCAAGCAAAATGGCAGAAAAGGAGATATCCTACTTATATGCCACATAGCAACAAGAATTTGGAAGCAATTTGTATATACAAAAGCTCCTTTGTAAAAGCTTTTGGATTAAGGTAGGAGGTTGCAAAACTCTATTGGAGCCCTAAATTGAGGAGAGCTATTTTGAGCTGACAGGCCTGCATTTAGGTGACAGTCTTGCTGAACAGAGTCCTGGACAGAGGCCTGGAAATGATTCATCCCACTATAGACTCAGCTACAACCTGAGTTTGCCCTCAGTCCTTCAAATATAACTATCCGCCAAGGGACTGGAAGAAGTCATGTCCGTCCATGCCTTGGGTAAAAGGCCTTGTTTTCAGCTTTGAAGTAACCATGTAACTCATCTCCAGTCTTTGTCATCTATGGTCTGAGAGTAGTCATTCCTGCACAGGGACCTGTAGGGAGAGAAGTCCATTCATGCGTCTTGAGGCAGGCCTAAATAATAACATTCTGACCACAGATCTTGAAGCCCTCCTGTGATCCAGCTTCTGCCCCACTGAGACACATTCTAGGGATAATCCTGTCTGCCCAGGAACATTGAGGGAGGCATGACCATCTGTGCCTCTGGAGGCAGGCCTGCTGACCTTGGCCTTGGCTGTGGACCTTGAAGCAGCCTTGTGATTTAGTTTCAATCCCTCTCAGTGACAGTTGAGGGCCATTCCAGCCAAGCCATGTGCATAGCCAATGACATAGAGGGAGCCCTCCCAGGGACCTAGAGGAAGCCAGACTTGACTGCACACCTGGTAACATACCTGCCACCTGAAGAGCTAGCTGTGGACCTTGAAACAAACCTTATTTCAGTGCCAGCTCTACTGACCAATTTCCTGGTATTATCTAGTCCATCCAAAAACAAGACAGAGGCCACACTCGCTTTAGCCCCTCATAATACACCCACTAATCACAGATTGCACTGTAGACTCAGCAGCAGCAACATAACTCAATTCCACACTAACTCAACTCAGATCTTACAGGCAACTTCATCAGCCTGGACAACCAACAAAAGAAGGTCTTTACTTTCAAAATCAGTCAACAAAGTCTAGAAGAGATGTTTTCTCCTTCAAATGTGCAGACACCAATGCAAGGCTACCTGCACAACAAAGAATTAAGCAAGCATAACACCACCAAAGAAAACTACTAAAACTTCAGTTATTGACCCCAAAGCAATGGCGATTGACAAATTACCTGACAAATAACTCAAAATAATCAGCTTAAAGAGGGTTGATGAAATGCAAGAGAACACAGATAAACAACTAAACACAACGAAGAAACAATACAGCAACAAACAAGAAGTTTAATAAAGAAATAGAAACCATAAAAAAGAACTAAACAGAAAACCTAGAGTCAAAGAATACAATAAAAGAACTGAAAAATACAATAGATATCTTCAACAGCCAACTCAATAATACCAAGAAAAAAATTATTGACCATGAAGAAAGTCATATAACATTAATAAATTAAAGGAACAAAAAGAAATAATGATTTTAAAAAACTGTTAAGAAAGCATAAAGAACCTATGGGAACCACCAAGCAAACAAACATACGAATTATGAGATTCCCAGAATGAGAAGAGAGAAAGAAAGGGACAAAAAAGCATTGGTAAATAGTGTCTGAAAATGTTCCAGATGTTGGGAGAGACACAGGCATCCAAATTAGCAAAGCTCAGATGACCTCTCATAAAATCTAACAAAAGAAGAACACCCCAAAATATGATAATCAAACTGTCAAAGGCCAAATAAAAAGAGAGAATCTTGAAAGCAGCACACGAAAAGAGACTTGCCACTTACAAAGAAATGTCTACGAGGTTATCAGCAAAATTCTCAGCAGAAAGCTTGCAGGCCAGGAGAGAGTGGTATCAGATAGTCATTTTTTGTCCAAAGAAGAGAAATAAATGACCAACAGGCATAAGAAAAGGTTTTCAATATTATTAATTATCAGAGAAGTGTAAATCAAAACCACAGCAAAATATTGCCTCATATCTATTAGGATGGCCATTATCAAAATGACAAGACATAAGAAGAGTTGGCAAAAGTTTGGAAAAAAAGGAACCCTTTACACTGTTGATAGGAATACAAATTGGTAGAGTCATTCGGGAAAACAGTGTGAAGATATTAGAAAAACTGAAAAATGAAACTACCATACAATCCAGTAATTCCACTTCTAGGTATACATCCACAGGAAATAAAATCAGTATTTCAAAAAGATATTTGCACCCCATATGTTCATTGCAGAATTACTTACAATAGCCAATATATGAAAACAACACAAATGTTCATATACAGAAGAATGGTTTTTAAAAAGTCATATATATACACAATGGGATACTATTCTGCCATAATAAAGGGGGGAATCCTTGTGACAACATAAATGAACCTGGAGGACATTTTGCTAAGTGAAACAAGCCAGACATATAAAGACAAATACAATAAGGTCTCACTTATATATGAAATGCAAAAAATTCAAACTCACAGAACTGGAGAGCAGAACAGTGGTTCCCAGGGACTTAAGGGGTGGGGGAAATGAGGAGGTGTTGGTCAAAAGGTAGAAATTTTCGGTTATTAAGTTTAAAAAGTTTTGAGGATCTAGTGTATATCATGGTAGCTATGGTTAATAATACATTATTATCTACTTAAAACTTGCTAACAGAGTAGATCTTGTGTCCTCAACACACACACACACACACACACACACACACACACACACAAATGTGTGGTGGTGGTTGTGTTAGTCAATTTGATTGTAGTAATAATTACAACATATATGCATCTACTAAATCATCACATTGTACGCCTGGTGTATGCATAATGCTTGTCAATTATATACAGCTGAAAAAAATTATCCAACTCCACACTTTCTACAAGATACAGCTTTAGAATTAAAGATACAAGCTGATTGAAAGCAAAAGAATGAAAAAGTATATATCATGCAAATAGCAAACACAAGAAAGCTGGACTGGCTATTCTAATATCAGACAAAATAGAGTTTAAAACAAACATAAGTGATACTGGAGATAAAGCGGGTCATTTTCCAGTGATATAAATGTCAACTCATCGGGAAAGTACAGGACAGTATAACAATTATAAACATATATGCAGGTATTAGCAGAGCAGCAAAACATATGAAACAAAAATGGACATAAATGAAGGAAGAAATAATTCAAAAATAATAGTCGACTTTTTAAAAATTTTATTTATTTATTTACGTATTTATTTATTGAGAGGCAGGGTATCACTCTTTCACCCAGGCTGGAGTGCAGTGGTGCAACTGTAGTTCGCTGCAGCCTCAAACTCCCAGGCTCAAGGAATTTTCTTGCCTTAACCTCCTGAGCAGCTGGGACTATAGGCATCTGCTACCACGCCAAGCAATTTTTATAATTTTTTTTCTTTATTTTTTGTGGAGGCAGGGTCTTGCTATGTTGCCCAGCTGGTCTTGAACTCCTAGCCTTATGATATCCTCCCACTTTGGCCTCCCAAAATGTTGGGATTACAGGCATGAGCCACCATGCCCAGGCCAAAGACTTTACTGGATAAAAATAGATTTCAATAATAGACAAAAATAGATAGAATAACTAGACAGAATATCAACAAAGAAGTAGAAACATGAACAACGCTATATAGCACTTCATTCAACAATAGAATATACATTTTCTGTAAGTGCACAGGGAACATTCTCCAGGATAGACCGTATGCTACACCATAATAAAATTGCAATATATATAAAATGACATAAATAATTAATAAATAAGAATAAAGTATATTCTTTGACCACAATGGGATAAGATTAAAAATCAGTAGCAAAAATCAATTTCAGAAACTCACAAATATGTCAAAAGTAAGCACCACACCACCACAGTAATCAATGAGTCAACCAAACTGTGAGGAAATAATACTTTGACACTTTCATAATTCAAACTTTTGTTTTAATAAAAATAGTGGCAAAACATGTCAAAATTCATAGTATGCCTCCAAAGCAGTTTTTACAGTGAAATTTATCATTGCAAATGCTTGTGTTAAGGAAGAATAAAGATATCGAATCAATATCCTAAACTTCCAACTTAACACTCACAAAAGAAGAGCAAACTACACACATGGAAGGAAGTGAACTTTAAAGATTAGACCAGGAATTAATAAAATAGAGGATAGAAAAGCAAAAACAAAATTAATAAAATCAAAACTTTTGGTTTTACATTGACTCGGAAAAAAAGGGAAAATTAAATTACTAGAAAAATTAATTAAGGGAAGGCATTATTACAAACATTATAGAAATTAAAAATCCAAAGGAATACTATAAAAATCATATAATACTTAGATAAGATGAAGAAATTCCTAGAAAGATGCTAGCTACTGAACCTGACTTCAGTAAGTAGAAAATCTGAATGGACCTGTACAAATAAAGATATTGAATTAGTAATTAAAAAACAAAAATTACCAAAATAGATGAGTTCAGGTTTGGATTACAATCCAAGGTATAAAATAAATATCCAGAAGTCATTATTAATATAAATAAAGGATCGAGTAAATTAGAAGAAAGGGAAAAATCTCACACAATAATTTCAAGTAGATATCTGTCCTCATGGTTTCCCACTCTTTCAGTGTAGGCTTTGCAAAGTGACTTCCTTTAAAAAAGTACAGTATGAAAAGAGGGACTTTTAAAAAGAAAAAAGATTAAGTTGACAGTGGAGAAACATGACAAATACTACCCTAGTCATGAATAAAGTCATCATCAACAGTGATGTCATGTTGCTAATATGTATTATTGATATGATGCAATAAAATGGTATTATTCCTCTATGGTCTTATAACCTACTCTAATAATGAGAAAAGCATCAGAAAAATCCTGATAGAGGAACACTTTACAAACTGCCTGTTAGTAGTCCTCAAAAATGCCAAAGTAATTGAAGACAATGAAAGAAGACTGAGAAACTTTTACAATTAAGAGTAGTCTAAATAGACATGATGGCTAATGCAATGTTATATCCTGGATTGGATCTTGGAGTACAAGAAGAATACTAGGAGAAAAACTAAAAAAGTTCTGAATAATATGCAACTGTGGTTAATACATTACCATTGTTGATTCACCAATTGTCAAAAGTGTATTCTACTGATGTAAGATGGTAACAATAGGGGAAATTGAGTGCAGGATATTTGAGAACTCTGTACCATATTTAACTTTTTCTGTAAATGTAAAACAACTGAAAATAAGGTTACTTTAAAAGAAAAGCATGGTTAATAATGCAAAGGAAAATGGAAGCTTAATCAAGATGTGAATGTTGAATTTAGTAAAAAGTAGAGCACTAGAAACATCATAAACTGCAAATCAGTGGAATCATGAAGATGAAAATCAGACCACAGCAGATTCAGGTTTGAGAGGGAGGTGATGAAGTTGAACTAAAGAGTATATACAATTCTTTGAGGATACTTTCTTGTGCTATATAAATTAAAAACGGATATTTCAGCTGATCATTTTAATTGAAAACAAAGCCTTCTTAGCATAACATCTCAGAATTTTCTAGTAATTAAAATCTGTATCTATATGAATCTTATAATTAAAGATGAAGACTATAATCTCTAAAAAACATGTTAAGCATTTCAGTGCAGAATGCCATTGGGAACACAGAAAAGGATGATCAGGACAGTGTGTGTACAGGAACATGGGAAATAAACTGTATTCCTTCTTGCTCAGCTTATAAGGAACACATTTTAAGGTGTAGAATGACTTGAGACTGTCATAAATAATTGAGAAATGTACTGAAAACCCAGGTAGAAAAAATAGACAGCAGTCTAGATCTCATAGGTTCTCTACTCCTCATAGAAAGCCCTCTGTAGATTCCTACATACAAAATCATCACTGTTTCTGCTTTATTCCAATCGGTCCAATTAATTTGGTCCAACGTTTCTTTATTCTACACTTCTAAAAGTCTGCTAAGTTTTATTCGTTCATCATCTCTTTTTGGTATGAGGTTCTCCTGCTGGAAATATTTTTTTTCCCTGAACAGAGGATCACAACTTGCATTTAAATTTTTTTATATTAGGTTAAAAGGCATAGGAAAACTTTTGAAATCTAAATCTTTCTCAGATATATTGAGGACCTTCACAGTGTACAATGAATAACTTCACCGTAAAATAGAACCACACTTTTATTCTCTATATTGGAAAATATACAGATTTATAATTATTTAGGTTTAGGTCTAGTATCTTAAAGTCAAAATATCATTGGTAACATGTGAATTTAAAATTCAACATTATATGAAATCTTCTCACAAATATATGGGGAATGGAGGGAAAGTTATGTTTCAGAATCTCTGTCATCTACACTTCATGTTTCTTGAATTTATTGAAGATTCTGTCACGAATCTGCTTGGTCTTAACACTGTAGACAACGGGGTTCATGAGAGGTGGAACCAGCAAGTAGACATTGGCCATCAGCACATGGACAATTGAGGAAGCATTCTGTCCATAGCGATGGATCATAGATAGCCCAATCATTGGTGTATAGAAGGTGAGTACAGCACAGATGTGGGAGATGCAAGTATTGAGGGCTCTCACTCTCTCTGCCTTGGAGGCTATACTCAACACTGTGCCCAGGATGAGGACATAGGAGAGGAGGAGAAGCACTGAATCAAGTCCCATGGAACAGATGACCACCATGAGGCCATAGATGCTGCTGACTCGACAGTTGGATACAGTCGTCTTTATGAGGTCCTGGTGCAGGCAGAAGGGGTAGGACAGAATATTGACATCATGATATTGAAGCCTCTTCAAGAGGAAAGAAGCTGGAAAGACCAGAGCCAAGGCCCTTCCAGCAATTGCCAACCCAATCCCAATGATTACATCATTGGTTAGGATGGCTGCATAGCGCAAGGGTTCTCAGATTGCTATAAAGCAGTCAAAGGCCATAGCCAGGAGTACAGCTGACTCAATAATCGAGAAAACATGAATGAAGTACATTTGGACCAGACAAGCATTGAAGGAGATCTCCCGGGCATGGAACCAGAAGACACTGAACATGGTAGGTAAGGTAGTGTTAGATAGGCCCAGGTCAGTGAATGCCAGCATTGACAGAAAGTAATACATCGGTTGGTGGAGGGAAGACTCAGTTCTGATAATGAAGAGGATGCTAATGTTCCCGGCAATTGAGGTGGCATAAACCAAGAAGATGGGCAGGGAAATCAAGTCATATCTGCTTTCAAGGCCTGAGAGGCCCGTTAGGAGGAAGCGAGGGTATAAGGCAGAAGTATTGAAGACAGACATTGTGCTAATGGATGAACCTAGAGTCTAGGTGAGGAAACAAGAATATGGAAAATTAGGGTAAAAGTCAAAATTGTAGCAAGAAACAATACTTTAACTTATGCTGCTCTGTGTTTAATGATTTTGATCGTGTCTGTGCTCATTATATTTAATTACCCCACCGGTTATTTATTATTTTACCGATTAATTTAGTTTTCTTCACTGCATTTATTGAGTTTTTTGTTTGTTTGTTTGTTTGTTTTTTTAGATGGAGTCTCGTTCTGTCACCAGGCTAGAGCGCAGTGATGTGATCTCGGCTCACTGTCACCTCCACCTCTGGGGTTCAAGTGATTCTCCTGCCTTAGCCTCCTGACTAGCTGGGACTATAGACGTGCGCCACCATGCCTAGCTAATTTTTATATTTTTAGTAGAGACAATGTTTCACCATGTTGGCCAGGATGGTCTCAATCCCTTGGCTTCGTGATCCCCCCACCTCAGCCTTCCAAAGTGCTTGGATTACAAGATTATTTTTTTAGAGATGAGATCTTGCTATGTTGCCCAGGCTAGCATCGAACTCCTGTTCTCAAGCAATCCTCCCAACTCAGCCTTCTGAGTAGCTAGAACTACAGGTGCACGCCACTGAATATGAAAACATATTTTATTAAAGGAAATCTGGTAGTGTTAAAAAATAGAGAAATATATAAGAAATGCCATCAAATATGTACAAACTAGTGGACAGACAGCTAAAGTTAAAATTAAAAGTTAAACATTTTGAAGTTGATATTTAAAAAAAAACATGATTTAAAACACAGAAGAGACAACTAACCCCATCCAGGCAGGTCAGGGAAGATTTACTGAAGGAGATTCTTAAATTAGGTCTCAAATGACAAATACTAGGGGGATGGTATAAAAGGGCTGTGATGTACATCCTGTACTGATTAAAATCCATGTAAATACAGTAAGGCATTGGAGAGTATTACAAATGTAAGTAGCTACAATTGAGTAAAGCTATAGGATAGATGGCTCTTCATATGGTTCTTGAAGCTAAGGTTAAAAAGAAATGAACCCGAATTTCTGAAGGAACTTGTGTGTAAATATGAGAAGCACGGATATAATCTTAGAGGACACAAGGCCCTAATTGTAACAATAAACAACTTGACCAGATTTATAATATATGTATGTCAACATACAATCAATGTTAACAGTGGTCTAAAGGCTGACAAGAGAGAAGGTAGGTAAACCTGTTAGGAGACTATTGTAGTCATTAAAAGAAGTGGATGAAAGTGAAATCTAACAGTGGGTATTATGAGGAATGAATAGGTATGAAATTTACATGGGAAGAAAAAATAACATCCGTAATGTGGATCATCATATGGTAAGAGTGAGAAAAAGAAAGAAATCCAGAATAGGTTTATTTATTTGATAATCTTTTTCCTGTCATTTATTAAAACAAACAAAGACCTGCCTAGAAATTTGGTGAAGCCAGTGGGCCAGATAATTCCTGTTTGGTTATGATAAATTTGAGGTGTGTGGAAGAGATAGTGATAAGTTTTTCTATAAAAACAAAGAAAGAACACAATGCCAAGTTATAGAAAGAGAATAAAAGATTTATGTGCTCAGGGCTCAGTTACCACAATACATCAGATGAGCTGTAGGAAATAGGCAGATATCACCATGAACTGGAGAAGATAGGCATTACAGCCAAAGCCCTAGAGACCTGCTACTTAGCTTCATAATGGCCACCCCATTCCAGTTACTCTGGGCACAAAACATCAAGAAAATGTTTATCTAGCGTATTTGATTTCAAAGTTTTTCCAAAATTTACATGATCCATTTTCCAAACTACCCTTCTCCACAAATACAATCACACTTCATTGTTTCCCCTAATAGACATAATTAATTATAAAATAACTAATTCTGTATCATTCTACAGAGATGACAAGTATTGTGCAATCTGGTATACTTTTGATGAGCAGATACAAAATGAAGAACAGAGGAGAGTTATTTTACATATTCTCATCCTACATTTAGTGATTTATATACTATACTAGTTATAGAAAATAACAGTCTTTATACACCTCCTTCACTTTCCCAGATTTATATGTTATAAACTTCTGGTCTGCTTCATCATTGAATGCTAACTATGTCATCACTTTGGCACTCTCACGTAATTATTTTTTCTTTCTTGATACCCACCATCAAATCTTTCAGTGGTCTTCAGCGTCTCTATCTTGCCTAGGCATGCCAGGTCTTCCCTCTTAAATAACTCTTCCCCATTTATTTTTATGAAAGTGCCTGGCTTAGGGTAGTCATAATCTGACTTCTCTGTGTAGACACAGGCACTCAACTCTCAGTAGCTACATCTCTAGATTCAGAGAAAGTCAGATGACAACTGTTATTTACTACCTATTTGGACAGGTTACTAAACCCCTTTGAGTATAAACAAACTGGCAATTGTATTACTTTATATAATACTTAAGAGATTCTAGCAAACGTATGTAAAGCGCCTGGAACAATATCTAAGATTTAGGAGATACTTTGGACTTAATGGAAGCAAATTGTTAATTAAGATGCTGAAGTAGCCATGCTCTTAGGCATATCAGCCAAACACAGCAGTGATGCAAAAGCAGGGGCTGTCTGGAGTGCCCAAGTTATCACATGTGAAGATATTACCTCTCATGGCTTCTCTTAAGAATTATCTTATACAAACTAGTGGACAGAGGGCTAAAATTAAGATTCCTTTTTTCCCTCTTAATATTGTTAAGTGTGTATGCTATATGTAACAGCAAGATACAGGAGGCACTCAAATCATCATCAACTTTATGATCATCAACTTCATCAGTTTTAACATTACAGTTTTTAGTTAATATCGGGGAGTAATATTTAGAGAAAACAGGGATTTCAATACATAGGTTTCCACTATAGGTGTTACATATGCCTAGAAGTGAGTTTGCAATGGTAATCCCTTCCCAGAGCTCTTCTGAGCAACTTTTGAAGAGATTAGTCTGACGCCTTTGGAGGAAGGTAAATCTATATCTCTGACCTATTCTAGAGCAGTGATTTCACATGGGTAGAAGTCATTCCTACTTTTTGACCTTTATTTACACTTCCTGGATTCTTCAAATATATAATGTAGTAATCTCTTAACAATTTTTCTCACCTCAAAGACTTCCTGCAGGCACACCTGAGCCCTCAAGTGCAGACAGCCTCACCCTACTGCACGTTGGCTTGGTTTCCAGTCTGTCAAGCTTGGAGACTGCTTGTAGGTTAAGAAAGCCACTGAAGATGGGCATAGAAGAAGAATAAAATACACAGGGTATTCTAAGGCAGATAGTTCTTCAAGGGAAGCATAGATGTTCTGAGTAAGGCATCAGTCTCTCCCTCAGTAACTCCGAAGCTGAGATAAAGCTTTTTTGCCTTTGACATTCTTGACTTTACCCAGCTGTGTGCTTTATTGGCACTACTGTGCTTTAACTACTCTGGCCTGTTGCCCATCTTGACTAGTCCGTTCCCCCTGGATCCCCCTTTTTTTTTTTTTTTTTTTTTGTCATTACAACCTCTAGGGGGAATAACTAACATCAGTGCTGAAAGAGCTATTTCTCCTGCTCGAGGACAAGCGATGGTCATGCCAACTTCCCAATCCAGGAGTCCAGATTATGAAGTAATTGAGAAGTATTCTGAGGATCACGTGATAAAGATGAAAAAAATGGGCTTAGTCGATCAGAATGACGTATTAAAAAAGTTTGTGCTCTAAGTAACCAGATACAACATTTACTAGCTGTTGTATGCTGAGAAAATTATTCTGTATTTAGGTCAAATTTTTTGCAACGATACACTACGACATACATTGTTGAACTGTTGTAAAAAATATAAAATCGTGTGTAAAGTAGAAATTCATTGCTCAAAAGTCATGCTTTTGATAGCACTTATAAATTATAAAGGGGTATGGGATCCGTATGCAGTTGGTCTATAATACTCAATTCTTTTACCAGCCACTGGACAGAAGGGTAAACATTCTACCATCATCATCCTGCAACAACTGCTACTTGCACTGGCCCACAAATCTGCCCCTGAGCATTCAATAAAAGAAAAAATGAAGATGTGATACGATACAAAAAGTTACAGTCCCTTATTGTCACTATCTAGCAAAGACATAAATCCCTCCAAAGCATAATTGTAAAGGGCATCTTATCTATTCATTCAAAAATTACACAGGTAATAGAGATGATCATGGAGAACAGGTTTGGCAAATCTCCTTCAATTTAGATTGAAATCCAACACTTTGCTTGTCCTCTTTCTCAATTGCACGTCACATTTTGCCACTAAAAAATGTATCTCCGTTATGCCATTCATGTTTCTTGATGCTTTTTTTCTAATTTTTTCAAAACTCATGATGTAATTAATCAATATGTTTCTATCCACAATATAAACTGCCTCTAAGATTCATCATTTTTGTTTCCATTTTCTTCAATGCCAGATCAATTCAAGTCATTTCCAATAAAATCTTGATTCAGGAGAAAATGACTTTATAGTGGTTTTTAGGGATACCACAGCTGCCTCATACAACACATTTTCTTATCAGTCTATCAAATTTGACTTTTCTAGCATTTTATGTTATGGTATTTTCCTTCTCAAAAGTCTTTAATGTTTTCACACACTTTTATTAGATTTTTCTAATATTTACAATAGACCACTATTATAATAGAATTAATGGCCGAAACACCAAACACACATCAATCAATCAATCCTTAGCAATTATGTTTAGAGGAAACTTCACATAGTCATTCCACTGTGTGTGACTATAAGTAGGCCCCATTAACATCTAACATTTTACAGAAATCAAGCATTATGGAAACTTGTGTAATATAGTTTAACCCGGCCTTTTCAAACATATTTTATACAGACAGCATTTATTAACATCTGAAATTTGTGTTCTGCAGAGATCAATTTGGAAATGAATGCCTAGAAAATGTTTGGCTTAAGGCAGTGATTTTCAAGAAGAAGGATTTTTTGCCTCAAAGGGGTGTTTGACAATGTCTGGGGCCATTTTCAGTTGTTGTAATTGGGAAAGTGTTACTGGCATGTCATGTGTAGTTGCCCAGGATACTTCTAAACATTCTACAATGTGCAGGACAGCGACTCACAACAGAGACTCAGCCAGTCCCTGGCAATAGTGCCAATGTTGAAAAACCCTGTTTTAAGGAGAGAAAAACAAAACTACACCAAAAATTAAAATTCTGTATTTAAATCTGTGGGTAGTATGAAGGCCAAGCACATTAACTCTGGACCAACTAGAGTAAAGAACACTGTAGATCCGGCCGGGCGCGGTGGCTCAAGCCTGTAATCCCAGCACTTTGGGAGGCCGAGGAGGGCGGATCATGAGGTCAGAAGTTCAAGACCAGCCTGGCCAACATAGTGAAACCCCGTCTCTACTAAAAATACAAAAAATTAGCCAAGTGTGGTGGTGTGCGCCTGTAATCTCAGCTACTCGAGAGGCTGAGGCAGGAGAATCGTGTGAACCCGGGAGGCGGAAGTTGCATTGAGCCGAGATTGCGCCATTGCACTCCAGCCTGGGTGACAGTGCGAGGCCCCTTCCAAAAAAAAAAAAAAAAAAAAAAAAAAAAGAACACTGTAGATAGAGAGGTTCCTTACCTTTGAATTCCAATTCTGGCACTTAACTATCTGTGTGACTAAGAAAACTACTTAACGTCTTTTCACTTCTTTTTCTTTGTTTATGAAATGAGTTTCATAATAATTTTAAGCAACAGGATTTTTGTAAATATTCGATGTGTTAATAAATGTATAACATTTAGAATGTATTAAATAATCAATAACAGATAATCAAAAATTGATTCCCTTTTCCTTTAATACAGGGTTGTTTTAAAATTAGTTATTATTAGTATTTTGTGGGTGTGCCAATTTTGTGACCCCATATTTTGAATCCTGAACTGAAACTTCTCTCAAAGACATTGACAAGTATTTTAAAGGGTGCATCAAATTTTATAGCTATTAAATAATTCAATCATAAGATTACTTTCTCTGGATCCAAACTCATGAGTATTAAAGAGCTTTTAACCATGACTTGGATTTCCATGCATATATCTTTTAAGACAGCAAACATTTTTCCCTTGGGAAATGTGTGTCTAAGTTACATTTCACACATTAATTTAATATGCGGGCATTCTGAAATATGCATTTTTTTCAAATAAACTTGGGTTTTGAGATTTAGCTTTCTTGGCTTTGAAAAGGTAAAACAACTACAAGAAAATATGAACAAGAAAAGCCATTGACTATCGGTCTAATAATATTTTGCCCCTTATTTTCACCTCCATCGAGTTGAATAAGACTTAGTTTAAATGGTAATTTACTCTTTCTTCTTGAAGATTTATCACTGATTCTATATTCCTAGGGTATCATGATAACACCATTCTCCCAAATCTCATTCAATCCCATTATTTTTTATCAATTTTTATTATATAATTATATTAATGGATCTCTTAGTAAAAATTTATAAACCTTGTTGACTAAGCTGAATGAGAAAACAAACAATTATATGTAACATTTAAGAGTAAGATTTCTTTATCAATAAAAATGATTGAAGTGTATTAAAATGGATACATTGAGATATTTCTTTTTTAGATTTTAATGTCATCCACACTTTTAAAATATCTTGTTATTAATTCATAGTGTAAGAAAGAGTAAGCTAATGTTTGTGTGTGTTTGTGTGTGTGTGTGATCTGAGAAGCTCTTGTGTGGTCACAGAAAGACAACATCATCATTAAGCCCAATTCAGAGTTCATGTGGAGGATGCATGCAAGTTGGCATGTTAATGGAGAGTGGCATGGTTTAAGATGTGCAAGTCTAATTACTAATTGGGAATTGTTTAAATTTTATATACTAATACTGAACATTTCTTAAGGCACACTCTTAGTTATAGAAATGTGCCATCTTTGTGAAACCACCTTTGCAAAAATTATACAGTGGCAACGTTATGGCAGCGAAAGAGATCTGATTTAACCAACCCCCATCTTGCCTTTATTCTTCAGACTTCCCTTAATCATTCCTGGGCTTGGGTCAAGCTAACTTTGGAAGACATTTATAGTTAAAATAATAATAGCCCTTCCCCAAAACTCAACCACCTTTGTAAAGTTAATGAGAGATCACTAGGCTAGGAGGATAGAGGAGCCGGAATTCTGCTAAAGTGTAGACATAAACAATTGCCAGCCATTATTCTGGAGGTCGCAAGACTTACGACTTCCTTAATTACTCTTGCAGATAACATCACTATTATACAACCTAGAATTGGCCTTTTGAGATATCTTTTCAGGCTTTTTGCATGTGTGATGACCAGTGGCTCCTACATGTGCCAATCACTCCTGTGGCCCCACCCAGAAATGACTCAGGCTTATGAGGACCATTTCTCATACCCCTGTGATTGCACTCCCAACCAATCAGCAGCAGGCACCCATTGCTTAGCCACCCCTCCTCTTCCTCCAAACTACCTTTGAAAAACCCTAGCCTCCAAATTCTTAGGAAGGCTGATTTAAGTAATAATAAAACTTTGAACTTCTATTTAGCTGGCTCTCTATGTAAAACTCTTTCTCCCTTGCAATCCCCTGCTTCAATAAATCAGCTCTATCTGGGCAGCAGGCAAGAAGAGCCCATTGGATGCAATGTTACATTCGCTGAATCTGTTCGTTTATTGAGACATAATATAGTCACAGGATTCAGTGCTATGGGGGGATAGAAACAGAAATTCTTTCCTGAAGGAGCTTTAGTTGAGCAAGACCAAACAAATAAAGCCTCATCATTACTTACAGACAATATTGCTGAACTGTATGCAAAATACTCTCACTACAAGTGATGAGAATCAATAAGTTAATTGATCAGGGTAGGTAGATATCTTTTTTATATCCAAAAAACATATGCTTATATTCAAAAGCACATAGAAATTGAAATTGAAAATATAATATTTATAATGGTGTTGAAAATACAGAGACCTAAAAACCTAGTAAAAGAAGTACAAGACTTCTAAACTTAAAATTTCAAATACTATTGAGAGAAATTTAAGACACTTTTTTTCAATCAAGGGATGTACTCTGTTCACAGATTAGAAGACTTCATATAGTAAGAGTGGCTAATCACATTAAATCAGGTTACAAATTGAGTTTAGAATTTTGTAGAAATTTAATACCTTATATAAAACTTAATATAGAAACACAAATACTGCATTAGTTCATTTTCTTACTGTTATAAAGAACTACCCTAGACTGGGTAATTTATAAAGGAAAGAGTTTCAATTGACTCACAGTTTAATTATGGCAGGAGGCTAAGGGGAAGCAAGGTACCTTCTTCACAAGGTGGCAGAAAGAAGAAGTGCTGAGCAAAGGAGAAAGAGCCCCTTATATAACCATCAGATCTTACGAGAACTCATTCACTATCATGAGAACTACCTGTGGCAAACTGCACTCATGATTCAATTACCTTCACCTGTTCTCTCCCTAGAGATGTGGGGATTATGGGGATTACAATTCAAGATGAGATTTGGGTGGGACATAAAGCCTAACAATATAATTCTGCCCTTGGTCCCTTCCAAATCTCATGTCCTATTCACATTTTAAAACCAATCATGCCTTCCCAACAGTCCCACAAAGTCTTAGTTCATTCCAGCATTAACCCAAAATTTCAAGTCCAAAGTCTCATCTGAGGCAAGGCAGGATCCTTCCACCCATGAGCCTGTAAAATCAGAAGCAAGTTAGTTACTTCCTAGATAAAATGGGGGTAGAGGCATTAAGTAAATATACTCATTACAAATGGGATAAATTGGCCAAAATAAAGGGGCTACAGGCCCTATGCAAATCTCAAATCCAACAAGGAAGTCATTAAACCTTAAAGTTTCAAAATGATCACTTTTGACTCCCACTCCACTCCTGGTACAAATTTACTGTATTAGTTCATTTTCATTCTGCTATAAAGAACTGCCTGAGACTGGTTAAGTTATAAAGGAAAGAGGTTTAATTGGCTCACAATTCGGCATGGCTGGGGAGGCCTCAGCAAACTTACAATCATGTCAGAAGGGGAAGGGCAAGGAAGGCACCTTCTTCACAAGGTAGCAGGAAGGAGAAGTGCCAAGCAAAGGGTAAGGAGCTTCTTATAAAACTATCACATCTTGTGAGAACTCACTCACTATCACAAGAACTGCATGGGGGAAACAGCACCCATGATTCAATTACCTCCACCTGGTCTCTCCCTTGACATGTGATGATTATGGGGATAATGGGAATTACAATTCAAGTTGAGATTTGAGTGGGAACAAAAAACCTAACCATATCAAATACCAACATAGTTAAGGGCATTTGAACAAGTAACCCTCATACTGTTGGGCTCACACTACCTTATAACAAAACCTACCATAAAATCATAATTAACAACAGTCATGGATTAGCAGAATGATAGAAAATTATGTCCAATGGAACAGAAGAGAAATATGAGAAATAGACCCAAATATATACATTTTCACCATATGACAATGGAAGCACTGTGGTACAGGGGATGAATAATGCTTTATTCAATAGATGATTGAAAACCAAAATGAGTCACTGAGGCATAAGTCTCAATCACTGAAGTTTATTAAGCCAGGTTTAGGGCACTTCTGGGAAAAACAAAAGCCACCGACACATCTGTGGCTATTTCCACAAAGGTTTTCAGGACATTGTGTATTTATCCATTTCCTTAAAAGGGGGAAGGGGGAGGCATGTAGGTTGGGCAGTAGGGGAAATAGTTACATTCCTGAGACTTCAGTTAGTGTTCAGTAAATCTACATTTTACGTAAGATAAGGTGAATGTCTGAAGCGAGAAAGGGAGTAAAGGAAGACTCAATCATGTAGTCGTCTCTGGGTAGGTGAAGAAAATGAATCTTGACTTTTCTGCACCTGGGAAGATAAACTTGTAAGTGACATAATCGGTGTGGAGTTTTAGGAGCTAGACCTGGATTGTGGACCTAAATTTACAACTAGCGTGTCCTTGTTTATGGGAGGCAAGCAAAGAATTTACTTATGAATGATCTGTGGGTAGCCCTTCCCAGATGCCTGAGGCCATTTACCTTTCCAGTCTGGCTGATATATAATGTTAGTAACAGTTATTCATGTGGAAGAGAGTGTTGCAATGATTCAGCTTCAGGACTTAGTCTTTACTTCTGCACAAGTTTGGGGGGTCCTTCAATTTTTATTTTCTTTTACATAGTTCTGACTGAACTATGTATTCATATCAAAAAATATGCCTTGACCTTACCTCATCATTCATAAAAATAAATTCTACATGTGTTGTATTTAGAAATATCAAAAGGAAAGCCTTACAACTTTCAAAAATTACACAGAAGGACATCATTGATAATATCAGCAAATGTGTCAGTTATTTATTTATTGTCCCAGTTTCAAATATAGACTTCATTGCTTACTCTGCAACAATGGAACTGGGCTCAATGGACATTTTTTCCTTCACAGATTCATGATGTTAAACTTGGCCAGCAGAGGGTGCCGCAGGGACACTTGTAAGAGAAGTTCGTGTGTACTTCTCTTTGATTATTCTCTCTCTTCTACCAGAGGCGTGTAATGAGAAATATTTAGTAATACTCATCCTATCAAATTTCAACAATACCCATATGGCTAGACTCTTACTGAGTCTTGCAGTTACTCTAGGGACTGGCTTCCCAAATAACCTATTTGGACCCTGGAGGGGTGTTTCCAGCTTGTCAGTCCAAACTGTGATTTGCTGCCCACCTGTACTTCAAAGGGGGGTTATCATTTGCTTGCCAATGCCAACTATAGTTCCCTGCCTACAAGCCTCAGCTCACCTGGTGCTTCCTACTACTCAGTCCTGAAAAGGAATCTTAGTCTCTCAGCCTTGGTTCACCTATACCCCACAGAAGTGTCTTTCTAAACACATGCAATGTAATGACCTTTTCTGGCATCCAGGATGCTAAGACTATGCATTCTCAAATGAAGTTTCAACCTCGGGCTTGGGGAGTACCTTCCCCATTTTCCAAGTTTGTTTTTTCTTTCAATATTCTCTCTTAGCTCTAGGGTATTACTCAGCGTTGTCTTTACCTTCTTTAAAGTTGATTTCCTTATGAAATTAATAAGTATTTGTATTTATAAACTCTATTCAAATTACTGTGTGATTTTTGTCTTCTTACTGGATCCTGAATGACAGAATAGGCAAATATCTCCTTAAAAATACACAAAAGCACTAAACATAAAAGCAAATTTATAAGTTGGACTTAATTAAAATTAAGAACATTTCTAGTCATCAGACATACTATTAAGAAAGTACATAGATTGTAGAAGATGGTTGTATACATACATCTCACAATGTCAACTTGAATTATAGGTTATTTTTAGTTCTCCAGGCTTACACACTGTGTTTGATCTTCCGCTTGAAACTTAAGAGATTTAAAAACCATGGATATTTGCTCTTGAATTC